>NC_000010.11:81809761-81961277 GCF_000001405.40 Homo sapiens | reverse complement strand
TCTATAAAATATACCAGGGACAAAGAGAAATTTTACCCTCTACTTAAATGATCAAGTTAAACTTGCAATTCATCATTATTCATGATGTGTATTAAATTATACATGTTAATTCATATATAGATAATTTGCCACCACATTTCCAAACCCAAGTCACACCTCCTTCATTATAGCATTCTGAAGAGAGCTTAAGGAGATGAAATTATAGTCCATTAAGTAAGACAGTGGTGCTAGCTTAGAAGGTGCAGGTAAGCCAAACATGAGGTCCCCACATCCCCTTTAGCACAGCCAGAAAACACTAAGATTGAATTTTGAATACCAAGTTTTGGTCATGCAGAGAAGAAGGATTAGAACAAGGATAGGCTTGGAGGCAACTCTGTGGATGAGGGGTCTTTATCAAGAGGTTTCTTCCTAAAGCCAGGGATTTGTAGAGGGTGTCACCACCTTGAAATAGGAAGTGTTGAACTTCATCGAGCCTGAAATCAGCGGATGTGGCATTCTCCTCCAGGTTACCTTTTCCTCTGTCCTGTTTTGTTCAAACAGGGAGGCGATCCAGCAACTATGGCAAAGGAACGCCCAGGCTGCAGGACAGTATGGAGGAAATCTCGTATGTCTCTTTAACCAGTAAACAAAGTGTAACGCTTGATACCAGAATTAGTTTGTTCTAATTACCGAGACACTGCACTAAGTGGAACAGACAAATTCTAGTTCCATTACTGCTACTATGCTGCTATATGACTTACTCAATTATTTCATTCTTTTGACTTTCAGTTTTCACTTCTGAAGATGGACATTAAAATTACAAACCTTTCATAAGGTTCCATTGAGGAAGAAATCAGAAAATGCAAACTAACTCGGTAAATTATAAAGTGGGATACAAATGAGAAGGTTGAAAGGTAAGAAAGTTGCCTTTAAGTTACTACATCCTAAAAAGGCCACAACATTAAAAAATTTATTGGATAAAGAAATAGCCATGAGAATTTGAAGTTATAGTCATCTATGCAATTACATAAATAAATTAAATTTTAGTAAGAAAACTCTCCCTCTCTCTGCTCACCTAACCCTGAAACACAATAAAACTATATTCATTTGAGTTAAAATACATAACAGCAAGAAAAATTTAAAAGTGAACAATGTGAAGAAGGATTGTGAATAGAACATGTGCCGCAACCATCCCACAAAACCCACAAAGAAGTTACAGTAATTAACAGAGGGTAATATAGGCATAAGAAAATGTGGAGAAATGAATGTAACCCACCTAGAAAATCTAGAAACAAATTCAGGCATGCATATTAATTTAGTATATGAAAATTAGAATTCCAAATTAGTGAGAAAAGTAAAAAATAGTAAATGGTAATGAGAAAATGAGTTACTGATTTAGGGAAAAAATAAATAAACTTACACAATACATTACACTCTACATATATCCACCATATATGCATGTAACCTCTATGTAACATCTTAAGCCATAAAAAGTAAAACTATGCATTTACCAAAGGATGTTAGTGGAAACTATTCATAGTATTGGGCTGGGAAGGTCTCCCTAAGCAAGACACAACCTAGAATGCATAATTTTCACAAGCCCTTCTGTATCTCTAAAAAAAAAATGAAGTTAAAAGTGGAAGACTTGGAGAACATATTTGCAATATATTTTAACAATAAAGACCACATCAGGAAAAATAAAAAGGTCCTAAAAGCATGAAGAAAACCACAACAAATCCAAAGGAGAAGTGAGCAGTATAAATTAATATACAATCTGTAATAAGATACAAATTGTCAGTAAGCAATCCAGCAAATATAGTATAGATTTTTTTTTTCTGAAGAGAATCTCATATATGAGCACACATATAAATGTATATGAGAGTGTTAATTGGTATAGGGTGCTTTCTAATATGACATTTTTGGGAATAAGTGCTAGAAAGCATGATTCAAATTGGTTCAAACCATGAGGATATGTATTATTTCATAGACTGGGAATTCTTGGGGGTAGTATTTGTTTCACAGTTATTTGAGGCAGTAGCACAATGACAACACAAGGGAGTTCTCTGATCTGACATCTACAACACAGGCCTCAAGCCAATGCTGGGTCCCCTTCCTGTCATCAGATGACTATCAGTGACTGTGCAACATTCTTCCTTATTCATATTCCAATGATTATAAAAGTCAACAACAAAAATATTTATACATATATATTGTGTGTGGGTGCAAACAAGGCAACAGGAGGATAAACACTACACCACTGTTTCTGAAATATTCATTTCATCATCACTCCCCTAAAGAAATGTAGACATTTATTTCCTAATCACTCCCATGAAATCCCCTCGCCATGAAATTTTAATATCCCACATAGACTGTATATCTGGTTTTGGTTTTGTTATTTTTTTTTCTTTGAGACAGAGTCTCACTCTGTTGCCCCAGCTGGAGTGTAGTGGGGCTTGTTTTTGGCTCACTGCAACCTCTGCCTCCTGGGTTCAAGTGCTTCTCCTGCCTCAGCCTCCCAAGTAGCTAGGATTACAGGCATCCACCGCCATGCCCAGCTAATTTTGTATTTTTAGTACAGACAGGATTTCACCATATTGGCCAGGCTGGTCTCAAACTCCTGACCTCAGGTGATCCACCCACCTCGGCGGGATTACAGGCATGAGCCACCATGCCCAGCCTGTATATCTGTTTATGTGTTATATGTATATCTGTACTTTACGCATATGAGTAAAATTTTTTCACTCCTCCCCAAAACAAATCTTTGCTCCCTTGGGCACAATACCATCTATGTGGAAAATTCACCCACTAAATTCCTTGACAGTTTCAAGTTTTTCTTGGACAGGAAACTTGGAAGAGGTGAAGGGAGAGGAGAATTTCATGTTTTCCTCAATATTTTTCAGTATTACAATATAACTCTCTTATGTTTCATTCATGTTTTTAATTTGAAAAACATAACAATAGCTTATAAACGTGTTTTTCCTGAATTGGCCACTCTGCAAAAGAATACCATTTGCTTCCTGGAGATCTGAATAAACAAAGATTTGTCATCTACATACCTCCAACCACCAAACTGTGAATTCACAATACCACATGGAAACTAATAAAGGCAGAACTTGCACGGCTCAGTCAGAACAGGATGTGGCCATTCTATCATATCATTTAGAGATGGTGTGATGGTCAAAACAATTGCCAGGGCTGTAAAATTCCCTGCTGTAGTATGTGTCAAAGTATCTGACTAACAGACCTTCATATTATAAAAGTGTTAACAACCCCTAGTAGTTGACTACTCCAATCTGGAAAGGCCACCCTATGAGACTTATATCAAATGTGGCAGTGCCCTCACTTATTTTAGAAGAATAAATGTTAAGGTTGGCAATTATTTCCTCCCCTCCAAACCTGCATGAAATAAGAACAAATATTAATTTAAAAAGCTATAGGTCTTAGCAGTTTACATACAAATTTTACTTAATCATCAGACTATTCCATAAAATAGATATTATCCCAATTTGACAATTGTGAGAAGGCACTGAGAAGTTGAATCATTTATCAAGTGGTGCTAACTTAATTTCCAAAGACCCTAATTCCCAACTCTTCATTCCTGTTCTCGGTCTACTTGATGTAATTGCTCCTATCCAGAAGCAAATGCTGATCACTGGTACATGCCAGGCACCACCTAGGTGCTGGGAATAGAGTAACAGAAAGACAGACCAGGTCCCTGCTATTACAAAGTATTCATTCTACTAGAAACGGAAGTAAAATAAAATACATAAGAATATTTCAGACAGTGATAAGTATATGAAGGAAATAAAGCAGGGTAGTATGACAAAGTATAAATTCGTGTGGGGGTGGGAGCACTGACTATTTTAAATATTTTAAATGGGGGGCAGAGTCATGATGCAAGGGAGAGAATGATGTAAGGGAGAGAAGAGCAGCAGGCAGTAGCCAATATAAAGGCTTTGAGGAGGGAATAACACTATTAGGTAGAGAAATACCAGGTACTATAATGAATGAGCTCTAAAATTTCAGTAGCCTAACAACACCCTAAGTTTTATTCACATTCACAGTCCAATGCAGGCGTTCCTGGTTGATGGACAGCTTTCCTCCATGTGGTGATTCAGGGACCTAGGCTGCCTCCACCTTCAAGTTTTGCCATCACCTAGGGCTATGGAGTCCTTGGCATCCAGAGAGTGAGGGCAGCACACTTGCTTCCTAATAACCCTATCCAAGAAGCACCATGTTACTGGTGAGAATTAATCTTATGGGTTCAAAGAGAGCTGGACATTGCAGACCCAGGAGCAATCCCACAGCTATGGAAGACAGGCATGTATTCTGCTGTTAGCTATCTATGGCTCAGAGATTAATGTTTTAGGGAAGAGTAAGAGTCTAGTGTGGCTTGAGTATTGTGAGTCTGGAGGAGAGTGGTAGAAAGGAGTTCAGAGAAAAAGACACCAGGTAGCACAGGGCCTAATAGGGGATAGTGAGGAGTTTGGTAGTATGTTAAATGTGATAGGAAGTTACTGGAGGTTTTAAGTAAAATAGGGACTTGATCTTGTGAACGTTTCTAAAGAATCAATCTGGCTTCTACTTGGAAAATATAATCTGTAGTAGGGAAAAATCAGAGAAACCAGTTAGGAGTCATCTATAGTAAATAAGGCAAGAGGTGATGGTGTTCAGGACCAGCTGTGGTGGACAGTTAAGAAGTGGTCAGCATGCAGGCTATATTTTGAAAGTACAGTTACAGGATATATGGGTGTGTGAATGAGAGGAATCAGGATGGCTAATGCATTATCTTGCAATGTTTTAGTCACTAAAGCTGCATAACAAATTACTCAAAGTTTAAGGGTATGTCTGCCCTAGTGTATGGACCATCACCAAATGACTCAAAAGCTAGAGGTAGGAATGATTTTAAAGCTGGTTTATTCACATCTATGGCAAGTGATGCTGGCTTCAGCCTGGAACTCACTGTCCCTCTGAGTTGGCCTTTCCATGTGGTTCCTCCATGTTGGCGAGTGTGGGTTCCTTGGAGCTTGGTGAATGGCTTGCCCCAGGGCAAGCATCTCCTAAGAGGGCCAGAGGGAAGTTGTTTTGCCTTTTGTCCCAGCTTTGGAAGTCACCAAACATCACGTCTACTGTATTCTATTGGTGGGGACAGTCAAAAGCCACCACAAAGTTTCAAGCAGAAAGATTACAGACCCCAACTCTCATAGGATGAATACCAAAGTTACACTGTAAGAAAAGCACGTGGGATGAGATCTTTGCTGTGGTCATTTGGAGAAATACAATCTGCCACATCTAAGCAACAGGACAAATGAAGTCATTAATTAAGATGAGGAACACCAGGTGATGATCAGATTTTTCTAGGCAAGGGACTCAAAATTCTGTTCTGGATATAAAAAGCTTACGGTGTCTATTACACATAATTGGAGATACTGAGGGAGCAGCTGGATAAATGAGTGCAGAGTTTATTGGAGAAGTCAGAGTCTGAGAAACATATTTTGGTATCATCAGCATGGAGAATATTAAAGTCATGAATCTGATGAGATCACCTAAACAGAAAGTTTAGCTGGAAAAAAAGGATAAATCAGGGCTACACTCAGGATCACTCAATTCCTCAAAGGTATCAACTTTTATTTTGCTGTGATTTTCACTTTCCAGCCTGTTCTTCAGCTACTAAGTAGGTACTTGAATATATTTAAAGAATAAGATGCTGTAATGAAATCTAGTGAACATGATTTTTAAGCCCATTTGCCACAGGTCAAGATTGACAGGACATTTGATTGAATTCTCATAATCACCCTTAGCTGGATACAGATCCCAATCAGTCCTCATCATTGACAAGGCTATGAAATGCAGAACTAAAATAAATGGCCACTGGTATTTCTGCAAAAGTGGTGCACAACTTGGCCTCCCAGAGGAACATCAGCTCCTCCTGTCTGATGGCCTTCAAACTGGGACATCAGCTCCTGTTCTACAGAGCTTCCAGCCCTCAGATTTCAACTGGGAAATAGGGGTCTTCATACTTTGGACTTAACCAGATCCAGCTTCCACAATTGCTTGAACAAATTCCTTATGATAAAATCTCTCACTCTCTGTATGTGTGTGTGTATATATATATAATATATATAGTATTATATATATTATATATTCTATATAACATATATATTATATAACAGGTATATGTCTAATATAACAGAACAAACATATATTTTATAACAGGTATATATCTGTATCTACATATATATATAATGTAACAGAACATACATATATGTTGTTTCTCTGAAGAACACTAATACAGACTTTAGTTATATTTTTTCATGAGCACAACTCATGCCAGTTCAGTAATCTGAATCCTGACATAAATAACATGTGAAATCATATCAAGACAGTCAATGCTATGCAAAATCCTAGGTGAAAGTGAGGCCCTTAAAACTGCTAGTGGTTACAGTGCAGCAGTGGCTGGTGTGACACAGGCAAGGTGATATGAGCAGGACTGCTTGTGAAGTGCTCTTTCCTCTTTTCCTGGATTTTGGCATTCATGTTGATTTTTAACAACCTGTCTAGAACAAATGTCTACAATGCCTAAACCCTTTTTTAGAATGCCCTCATTCACACCCACCCCTCCTTTTGTGAATGCAGATATTTTTATGTTTTATTCTGGGTGTACACAATGATCATTTTAGCAGCAGACTGATTTGGAGCTGATTCCCTAAGACATAGCTGGAAATTGTGGGGTCCAAAAGAAAAAATAGAGAGAGAGAGAAAGCAAGCTCTTGAGTTCAGCTTGTTTTCTTGTAGTTTCTTCTTTGTTCTGATAGAGTTCAGAGAATTTACTCAGCAAACTGGTATGTTAATCTAATATTTGAATCACTAGAGAGTGATTTTTAGAAGCATCCATTGCATGCAATCAAAGAAAGAAAATAACTTCACTTCCATGAGATTAAAAAAGGACATTAACTATATAGTATACATTTTCATAAGTGTCATGACTGCCAGTATTCAAAAGGCTCAAAGTGATAAACAAAAAGGAAATTTCTGTCAGCTCCAGCACAGAAAAATAGACATTAGCAGCAAACATTTCCCATCCACAACAGGGCTGCTTCCTAAATTAACTCTGCTCTTACCACCTCAACTCTCATCAGCCCCCTCATCCACAATGAATTCAAAATGTTCCATGCTTTATTTTTAAAAATATTTAAATATATAGAAATACCCCAACTCTTGTATACCTGCCTAACTATTTTTAAAGATATAAAAGATAAAGCAAATATATTGATTTAGAATTTCATAACTGTCAGCTTGATTGGAAAATACTGAAATGAACAATAATCACTACCCAATTTTAAGTCTAATTCAATATATCTGACTTCCCAATATTCAGATTAAAAAGTTGAAAAGCTCTTTACAGTTCTACCAAAAATGTTGAGATGTTAATGAGTCAGTATCTTCCTGCTTAGACAACATAAGCCATAAACAAAGACAGGATGAAAAAGTTCTGCTTTCATTTTAGAAAAATCAAAGAAACTGAAAATTTGAGACTGGAGTCATCAAAAACTCTGGTGATATGTTTTATTTTCAGATCCTGATGACCACTAGAGCAGAATTAAACAGTGCCATTTTATGTTTGCTATAAACTATGTCATAACATCACAAAGGCAATGACTCACATTCTGGGAAGAAAGGCAATGGAGTCTATGATACTATTTAAATGTTCTGTAATGTGATACTTTATCAATCTCCTATTTTCTTGGGTTACTAACCAACATAGAAAAAGAGATGGACTTGGTGATTCACAAGAATGTATCAGAATGGACTGGAAGGTACAGACTGAGGTCTTTTCAGAGCCCCAGAGATAATCAAATACACAGTAATTACAGGAAAGACAGAGCCCTGCTGAGAACCAAGTTATAAGATTCTCTGGGGTGTTAGGTCTATTTCCACTGAGATAATAGCCATCAAGAGAAGGATGGAAAGACAAACAGAAATCACCTCAAGGGGCATACCCCTCTCCATAGGTTTCTCATCCCAAGCAAAGGATGGGGCTCTCAACCAACAGACTTGTGAAGTTTGGGAGGATCTTCAAGAATGGAGACAAACAGCTAGTTCTATTGTGGGTATCTACCTAGCCACAGGATCACAGACCTTTGCTACTGGAATTCAGGAAGAGTGTTAGAGAGAAATGACCTGGCAGTACAGGCAAGAGGAGGGGAGAAAATAAATGTGAGCCCCTAAGTCCCCTGTCAAGATCCAGAGTCAGTGCTATGGATGGCAGATGAAATTGCAGGTGACCAACTTGCAGGGCCTGCTGCAGATGAGGCCAGAGAGACAAACAGCTCAGAGAAGCATTAGCCTGGCCAGCCAGAAGTTAACGGCCAAGTGTCCAATGAGGTCAGTTAAACAGGATTGAGGCCAAGCGTGGTGCATCATGCCTGTAATCCCAAGTCAGGAGGATCACTTGAGACCAGGAGTTTTAGACCACCCTGGGCAACATAGCAAGATCTCTTCTCTACAAAAATAAAAATTTAAAAAAAAATAGCCAGGCAGGGTATGCACACCTTTAGTCCCAAGTACTCAGGAGGCTGAGGTGGAAGGATCGCTTAAGCCAGGAGTTCAAGGCTCCATTCAGCTATTATTGTGACACTCTACTCCAACACAGGTAGAAAAAAGTGCCCTGTGTCACTGAAAAACAAAAAAACCCAGGAATGAACTAACTGGGGTGCCAACTTCTGAGGCTGAGACCACCATTTGGGTGACCAGTTATCTGAAACAAGTCTTGCATAAGCAGGGAGATGCCTGTTTTCTTCTACTTTCTCCTTACTCTACTCATGGGGTAAAAAAGAGGTCTCTCTCTCTCTCCGCACCCCCCTGCCGCCTTCTTTCTCTCTCCCCTCCCTCTCTCTCACACGCACACATACACACACACACAAGCACACTTCAATAGTATAAGTGAAATCACCACAAATTTGGTCAGGTTGAGGAAAGGAAAAGGAAGAACTAAACTTTGTGTTTGTTTTAGTGGACCGGACTAAGGCATAATAAGTGGCATGACTCTTTATTATTATTATACTTTAAGTTTTAGGGTACATGTGCACAACGTGCAGGTTAGTTACATATGCATACATGTGCCACGTTGGTGTGCTGCACCCAGTAACTCGTCATTTAACATTAGGTATATCTCCTAATGCTATCCCTCCCCCCTTCCCCCACCCCACAACAGGCCCCGGTGTGTGATGTTCAATTCCCACCTGTGAGGGAGAACATGCGGTGTTTGGTTTTTTGTCCTTGTGATAGTTTGCTGAGAATGATGGTTTCCAGCTTCATCCATGTCCCTACAAAGGACATGAACTCATCCTTTTTTATGGCTGCATAGTATTCCATGGTGTATATGTGCCACATTTTCTTAATCCAGTCTATCATTGTTGGACATTTGGGTTGGTTCCAAGTCTTTGCTATTGTGAATAGTGCCGCAGTAAACATATGTGTGCATGTGTCTTTATAGCAGCATGATTTATAATCCTTTGGGTATATACCCAGTAATGGGATTGCTGACCTGGCATGACTTAAAATAAGCAACTGTAACAAAAAGTTTTAAAATTTATCCAAGACGTCACAAAAGGGGCTTCCTGACCAATTTAAGGAGGGTAAGTGTCAGAAGTTGAATACAACAGAGCCATTTCATGCTTGGACCCCAATAGGTTAGAGATCAACAAAAAGTTTGCAAAGGAATAAAATAATTCCAATCCACTTTTTCTAGGAGCAGTTGAATTCTCCAGGTGTCTGTGGGGGTGTTGGCCACATTGGGTTTGAAAATTCTGTGTGTGTGTATAAGCTCAGCAGTAGGAGTTTCCAGGATGTCAAACGCTAATTGCAAAGATTATTATTAAACTCTCAATAAACAGGAGGTATTTCATTCCTGATACACACCTAATTTGTTTCTGTTTTGCTGTTTCAAGTCTCAGGAAGGGAAATCAGTGCAAATCAGGAAATATTTTACAGAGAGGAAAAAGGACAGACAACAGCTGTTCAACTGTTGAAGCTTCTCTCAGTCCTGCCTGAGAAAACCACTTCAGAAAGAGAAGAAGAAAATTCTCTTGGCCCTTCCTGATCAATGCCAATTTGAACGGTGGTACGACTCTCCTACATATGGAGATCAGAAACGTTGACTTAAGGGAAAATTTCAGCAGCCACATGACTGGCTGCAAATGAATCAGTCATCTAAATATGATAAATGCTGATGTTCTAACCAATCTGTAACCCTCCAATGGTCAAATCCAGATATTCGATTGTTTTGTGTCCACCCTAATTAGTAGTAACAAGCATAAATAGCATTTTTAAATTTTTTTTTTCTCAAGGGCAAGATTGCAATTTACAAAAATTCAAACACAAAGGTTTTCAGTTTATGGCTACATTGACTAATAATATGTATTCAAATAAAAACACACACAAACCAGGAAAATGTTAGCAAAAGATGAATACTGAATTTTGAATGTATCATTCTTTCCATAAAGCGTTGCCTTTTATAGCTGTGTTGGGGGACAGCAAAGAATATAATTTAATAACACTTTTGCCATTTTATTCACCATGAACATGCCAGTAATACAATGAAATACTTCTCAGATAACACAGAAATGCTGGGCAACTGATGATATCCATAGATACACAAAATCCATCTGAAGGCAGCAGTTTACCTTCCCGTACAATGAGGCTTGGCTCTGTGTGATGCACTCTAACCAGCCCACACTTCAGCAGCGGCATCATTTGGATTCAGGGAGAGTTTCTGCAGCATGAAGGAGTAGGAAGAACACAGGGTGAGTTCACAGGAATCCCTACTTTTCCATGTGACCTTGTTTGGCCTGAAGTGATTTTCTTGACCTCTCTGGGCCTGACTTTCCTCATCTGTAAAGTGGAGGGTTTGAAAATATCACAGAAAACAAAATACCTTAAAGGATGCTCTGGCACACAGCAGGTATTTCCATATAATGATACCTCCCATTCCTTTTTATGTGAGCTATATCCCCTGAAACCCAGGTTTGACTAAATTGAGACCAACTTTCATAATATACACAATGACTGTTAGATATGAATTTTGGTGTGGTGAAGATGGGAGTGAAAAAGTAGAAAAGTCAAATCTCATTGAATAAAAAGGGTGGAACCCAAGATGAGAACATTTGGAATAGTAATCATCTGTATGGCTCCCAGAAACTTCTAAGAACTTGGCACATTGGAACCTCTATGCAAATCATATACGCCTCAAGAGTTGGTCTTCGAGCAGGAGGGCTTCTGGTTAATTTCCAGAGTCCCCTGGGAAATCTGGGCAATAGAGATGTGGCCTTCAGTGCAGCCCCGCTTGGGTTAGCTGGGATCTGATTTAAATCAGCAAAACTTCTGACTGATAAAGGTAGGTGCAATTAACACAGCTCACAAAAAATGTGTTAGCAAAATGTCTGCAGTAATGCTTTCAAGTCTCAAGAAAATTCTTTTCTCATGAGGACCAAGGACTTTAATGTTTCTGAATATCTCCACAAGTGAAATAAAATATTAATTCATCCTCTTGGCACCTCAGAGACATAGGTAACTGGCATAAATAAATACCAATTTCTCAAGGTCTAAATGTGAAACATTCTCATAACGTGTTTTTTTCACATATTGCCCCTTCCCTAAATCTTAACCATTAAATACAGAAAAAAATGTCATACAATAATTAAGAGTTACCCATTTGCCAGATACAACTAGCCTTCTGAAACATCCCTAAACCCTCGGGCATATCACACAGAGAGTACCAGTGGGCTGATGCAGCCATCTGGCCATGAGAGGGCAGATCTGACAGTTCCTAAACAAGGTGACGGTGGCTATGCCCTTAAGCAGGGCTGCACATTTGCATCACTGTAGATTTTACAGACTAGACAGGTCGCTAAGGATTACCCACTTGTTCTATCTATGTGTGTAGTAAAGAATTTATTAACCTTGCCCCAAAAGAGGTACGGCCTTAGTCCTTGACTTCCTGGAGGTAATTTCTTATGATTCTCATATGTAATAAGAGCGTCTTTGTTTACCTGAGGGCCTTGGGTCACACTGAAGAGCCTAACAGTATGATTCAGCCTGAGAGCTTTGAGCCATGTGGTATCAGCTCAGCCTTCTCAGAGACAGGAGCCTGAGATCTGCCATGTGGGTGGTCGACTATGTCAATGTGATGGAGCCCCAGTAAAATCTCTGTACCCCAGGGCTTGACTGAACTTCTCTGGTTGACAATACCCTATGTGTATTGTCACATGTTTTTGCCAGAAAAGTAAAGTTGTCCATACTCCCTGGGGAGAGGACAACTAGAAGCTCCACAAGGAAATGTTCTTGGACCCTGCCCCATGTCCCTTTACCCTTGGCTGATTTTAACCTGCAACACTTCCCTGTAATAAACTGTACCTGTGAGTATTACAGCATTCAGCACATTCTATGAGTTCTTCCTAGTGCATTATCGAACCTAGGGCTAGTTTTGAGGATTCTCATATTTGCAATTTGCATTAGACCCACAAATTTGCAATCAGTGTGGGAAATGAGGATGGGCCTATAGGTTGCCCTCTAACTTCACACTTTGAGAAAACTGAAGCTGGTAAAAGTGAAATTGCTTGCCTAACGAGTGCTAGTGTTAGGATTCACAGCCTGGCCTTTCCTTTGTACCTCCAGCATCTTCCCACTGTACAGCACTGCCTGTTTCAACAAAAAGCACAAGAACTTGCCTCAGTCTAGCAAAACACAGAATGTGTCCTCAGAAAGGGCTAAACGCAGACAAGAGTTCCACATTGCATTGCAAAAGTGATGATCTCCAAATCAGCTGGGAGTGACAAAATCCTCACATGGCCAGAACCGTTGGTTTGAGAGAGAAAGTGTATAATCTCAAGAAATATAAACTATGACCTTCTTCCCTACTATACAACCTATGCATTTTTTTCTGGAATCTAAGGGTTTGGAGATTATTAAAAGTCAAATGAACCACTCTGGTGAGGAATGTTGATAATGGGTGAGGCTATGCCTGAGTAGGGGAAGGGGCTGTATAGGAAATCTCGCTTTTCCCTCAATGTTGTTGTGAATCTAAAAATCATCTTAAAAAAATAAGCGTTTTAACACAAACAACATAAACAACAACTTTCAAGTGTCCTGCAGATTTTACAATAGAAGAAAAAGTACAAGAATATGTAATGCCCACAGGCTTCAGTTACTTGAGTCTGAAGGATGATCTTTTGTAGCCACTATGATTAGGGAGTGGAATAAGCAACCTTCAGACAAGGAGCACTTACCATGTGTTGAGCACTCTCTACTCTGCAAAGGAGGCATTAACACTCCTATTTTTAAAATGGAAACACACTCAGAGGGAGAAGTTAAGTAAACTTCTTAATATTATCAATCCAACACAATACAAATACGGGGTTCTATTCCAAAACTCCTGGAATCTGGGATGCCTGAGTTTCTCACTGAGGGGGTTAGCTTTGGAAGCCATCCCTGCGATAATGAAGTGCTGAAGTCCCCGACGGCACTTTTGTCATATTAGCTACTGTTTCCACAGTCAGTGATTAGACTAGGTCATACACTTCAGGTGTGCAAAGGTGGAAATCTATTATGTTACCATATCATTTGGCTCGGCTAATCTGGAAATGTTACCTGCTAGAAAAAAAAAAACCCAACATACTCATAGAACATGCCTACTCTGGGGCTTTCGGGTCAAATTAGATAGCACAAAGGTTATACAAATTGTAAGAATGTCAGAATGCCACTATGAGCAATGGGATCAAGGCCAATGGGGAGAGTGAGGCCCTGCTATTTGCAACCAGAACAGCCATACATGAAAATTCTGTCAGATGACAGGCAGTCTGGGCACCAGCCTGAAAAGTCATTTTGGTTACTGTTGTGAGTTGAATTGTGTACCTCCAAAAAGATAAGTTGAAGTCTTGACCCTAGTACCTTAGAATGCAATCTTATTTGGAAATGAGGTCTTTAGAGAGCTGATGGAATTAAAATGAGGTTGCTGGAGTGGGCTTCAATCCTACATAAACAGTGTTCTTATGAAAAGGGGAAATTTGGACACAGAGGGACATGCATAGAGAGAAGACGGCATGAAGAGACTCAGGGTGGATACTGCGAATAGACAGAGACCAAGACTGGAATTATGCTACCACAAGCCAAGAACTGGCTGAGGCTACCAGAAGCTGGAAGAGACAAAAAAAGTGTCCTTCCCCTATAGTTTCAGAGACAGCATGGCACTGCTGATACCCTGCCTGGACTCCAGACCTTGGTGCTAGCCTCCAGAATGATGAGACAATACATTTCTGTTGTTCTAAGCCACCCAGTTTGTGGTGCTTTGTCACAGCATCCCTAGGAAGCTAGTACAGTTACAGATTAGGTTTTGGAAGATGGCGATACTAAGCAAGACCAGGCCCGTGCCTAAGCAAGAGCCCGTGGTTTATATTTGGCCTGTTGAACTGCAAGATATTTTCCAAGCATAACTCAAAATTCATGAAGAAGTCTGTTCGGAGCATGAGAGACTATGGTAATCAGCAGATTCACGCCCATGATGGACAGCTCATGTATTCATAAAATATTTTCATTTTTGTATGAGTGTAGCAACCTGTGAGCATAATCCCATGGCTTTAGCTGCACATGTTATTCTTATTAAAACACACACACATAGACACACACTCACATACACAACCTTCTTATAATCAGATTACAGAAAACCAAAAACTTACCTTTCATCATGTGGTATGTCCCTTCCTTCCCTGCAGAAATACTTGGGCTATAAAACCTCTGAGGCTGCCAAGAGCCTTCCGGGGCAATTAATATAAACATACAAATATAAGAGTGCCTTTATTTTTCTTTTTCTTAATAAAACCACCATCTATATTAGTTTCCTAGGGTTGCCATTAAAAAGAACCACAACTTAGGTGGCTTAAACAGCAGGACTTATCTCACAGTTCTGCAGTCTGGAAGTTTAAGATCAAGGTATTGGCTGGGCGTATGCCTGTAATCCCAGCACTTTGGGAGGCCGAGGTGGGTAGATAACCTGAGGTCAGGAGTTTGAAACCAGCCTGACCAACATGGTCAAACCTCGTCTCTACTAAAAGTACAAAATTTAGCTGGGCGTAGTGGCGGGTGCCTGTAATCCCAGCTACTCAGGAGGCTGAGGCAGGAGAATTGCTTGAACCCAGGAGGCAGAGGTTGCAGAGAGCCAAGACTGCACCATTGCACTCCAGCCTGGACGACAAAGCAAGACTCCGCCTCAGAAAAAGAAGATCAAGGTATCAGCAAGGTTGGTTCTTTCTGAGAGGTTCGTTCTGAGAGATTCTGAAGGATCTGTCCATGCCTCTCTCCTAGCTTCCGGTGGTTTCCTGCAAATCTTTGGTGTTTCCTGGCTTATAGATACATCAATCTCATTTCTGCCTCCTTCCTCACATGGCATTCTCCCTGAGTGCACGTCTGTGCACAAATTTCTCCTTTATATAAAGACACCAGTCATGTTGAAATAGCGGTCTCCCCCACTCCAGTATGACCTCATCTTTACTAATTACATTTGCAATGACCCTATTTCCAAATAAAGTCACATTCTGAGGTGCTGGGAGTTAGTACTTCAATATATAAATTTGGGGGGTTGAAAGGACACAATTCAACCCAAAACACCATCCCCTACTGTATCAAGATGTAAAAGGTGGCCTTATAGTTAACTCTACTTTTATAAAGATTTGAAGTATAAGATTGCTTTTGTTTTCAGAGCAAAGATATTATGTGTTCTATGAAATGCCAATGACTCAATTTCCAGAATGCATTTATGGGCAAAATCGCAATTTAAAACAAGGAAAGGAAGACAAAATGTAACTCAGTGTTATGGTTAAGGCTCTTACAACTTTTCTTGTTTTCATTCATTCAGTGAACCAAGCATTAACAGTGAGCTACAGCCTAGCGCAGGGGAAGACTTAGAAGGAGGAGGAGGAGTAAGAGGAGGAAGGAGAAAGAAGGAGATAAAAGAAGGAAAAAGAAGGAGGAGGAAGGGGAGTGAGGAGAATAAGGAAGAAGAAAAGTAAAGATTATACGATCCAGACCTTCTAGGAATTAACACCAAGTCATGGAAAAAAAACAAAACAATGGACAAAATAAGGTCCAATCCAGTTGTGACAAGTGAGATATTCAGACAATGACCAGAACAAGGATTCAGGAAGAGAAAGAGCCCTGAGAAGTAGGTGAGCCACAAAAGGCCTCTCTGCAGAGGATGTGGAAGGAGGTCTGGGGGAGGTAGAAATGAGATCATCCCAGGGGTGGGCACCATTAGAGCTCAGGGGCAGTGGAATCTGGATGGAACTATGGTTGGTGCTGGGAAGTGGTGGTTGAGGGTTAAAATGCAAAAATAAGTCACACCCCAGAGGTCTAGATCATGCCAGACTGAGGGATTTTGCCTTTATATCACAGTACTTGTGGTAAACAGATTTCCAGTTTTTGAAAATGTGCCATGGGTGCTTTACTGGAAGGGATAATTTCCATCTGTGACTTAGAGCTCAGGATACGTAGAAGTTTCATTCATCCTATAATTCAAATTGACTCCCTCTGACTCACGGAAGATCAGCCTTGTTTTTCAGCCTATGTAGGTTCAGCATGAATTGCATCTTTTGACTCCTGCCACAAAAGATGAGGCATATCATTGCCTTTTGTTTACTTTCCTTTCCCTGACACTTACTAACCTATACCAATCATTTAGTTTTATAATCACATTTCTAACCAATATCTTTAAGTTTAACCATTTCAAACAACATTTTCCCCATGTATACTAAAATTTTTCAGTTTTTAAAACACTTTTATTCACCACTCTTTTTCTGAAAATCAAATTAAGTTTTCTTTTAGTCTTTCAAGTAAAGGTTATGGTGACATATTTCTTGAGACACTGCATATTATGCAATTTTTAAAACTCTCTTGTAGCTATACAATGACTTTCTAAAATTTTATTTTAGTTTATCGTTGGTATATCAGAAGCATACTCTTTCTGTAAACATTTAGGTTGATAATGCACTGCTGCTCTTTGTATATTATGAGCTCTATGTTGTCTCTTCTGACGCTTGCCCTTGGGCATGCCATGTGGATTTCTTTTTGTCTGCTTACTTGCCATTTGAGTGACTGTTAAATCACCTTCTCAGGTCTGAAGTTAAAAACAGGTAGATGTCACAGGCGTGTCTGGTGAACAGAAATCACTCATCCACTGTGGCTCTGTTAAACGGGGGTAGAAGCTTCTCCTTCCCTCTCCTGTCCTATGGCTCTCAGTACTGGAGCATAACCATCTCAGCACACCTGCACCTGCAATCACGTTCTTGCTGTCACAGCCCCAAAACTGTGGAGACTACACTTGTCACAATGTGGTAAGTCATCTGTAGTTCCCATGCTTCCTCAGAGCACCCCCCACTTTCCTCTTGGAGGTGGAAGCTGTGAGTAAATGTAAGAAAAAAATCATCAGTGGAAGAATGTACCTTAACTACAGTATAAAGCACCACGATTGTAATGGTAAGAGATACATTGTTTTCTAGCTGATGAAGCCTTTGGCCTCAGAGGCCAGCAGCAAACAACAATGGCCTGAAATGTTTTTCTTCCTTTCTTGGGGCAGTGTGACTGGTCTACTTTATGGGTCTTATGAAAGTTAAGTCACTTCTGCTTTATTCACAATCTAGGCAGAGTATCTTTACATTGATCCCCTTTCAGATCCAGGCAGTAGGCTGCCTGCTGGTATGCAATGGAAATGGGATGGAAGTTGCAAGATTTCATCTTTTTCTCTCTTCAATGCCATTTTAGTCGGAAATTGGAAGAGATTATTTCAGGAGATGCTTTCCACAAGATTAGTAAGGGGGAAGCCTGAATTGTTAAAGATGGCACATACAACCCAAAAACTTAATGCGTCAAATTATTATTATTTTTTAAGAGTAGCCCAGGATGGAGTGCAATGGCAAGATCACAGCCCACTGCAGCCTCAAAGTCCTGGGCACAAGTAGTCCTCCTGCCTCAGCCTCCTGAGTAACTGAAACTACAGACATGTGTCACCATACCTGGCTATTTTTTTCATGTTTGTAGAAACATGGTCTTTCTATGTTGTCCAGGCTAGTCTTGAGCTCTCAAGCAATCCTCCTGCCTCAGCCTCCAGAGTTGCTAGGATTACAGGCATGAGCCACCATGCCCAGCAATTAATGCAACTACTACTTGTGTAATTTAAATAAATAAGAGATGTAAAGTGTAAAATATGTCCATGTGATAAGGTAAATTATGTGACACAAAAATAGAGGTTATAGGGAGAAAACACAAACTGGCCGGTAGAAAATGTTCTTATTTAGAAGACTCTAACTTTAATGTTCTAAAAACTAATGTGATTAATATTAATGTTTCTAGGTTCTTTCGTTATTAATCCTCAAAAGACTAATCAAAGAATCACTTGTACATTTATATTTTGATAATTATATCATAGCTGAATTCACTATTCATTGGCTATCTGGATACAGTTATTGCTGTCCTCGTAGTCCTTATGTGTTAGTATAATGTGAAAGTCCACCTGGTATATGTGAGGTCCTCAAACGGCATAAACAAAATTGGAAATTGCATGAGAAATTGCAGCTAGATCAGTGAATTGAGGAAAGATAAGGGGCTCAATGTTGACTCAACAGAGTTGGGAAACTTGAGAAATCTTTATCTTCACAATGTAAAACAAATCTAGCTAATTTTAAGATAATCCAAAGCATGTATAAGAAAAATGGAATTTTCAAGGAAGGCATCAAGGACTGATATAGATCTTGTGTAGTCAACGGCTGATAACAGTTGTTTTCTCCACCTAATTATAGAGGGGGTGTATTATTTTGGAAACAACTTTATGTTTATTTAAAACTTAAAGAGAGATTTGATGTAATGAGTCCTACTTACATCAAAAACTGAGGACTATGAGTCTTTTCAGAAAGCGGGTAGCATCTGTCATATACAATGTGCCTATTCTGCTGGGACTTGCATTCCACCTCTTTTTTCCAAGAACGTGTTCACAATGAGCACTAAAACGCAGTCGCATTTCTGTTATGTGGAGGAAACAGCACAAACATCTTTTCTGCCCTAGAAATTTGAATTCTGGGTTGGAGTCTTCACTTTGTAAACTAATCTCAGGGAAATTCTAGCCTCTGAATTATTCATTTGCTCAAAGATAAATCTTCCTTTACCAAGCATATATTTTAAAGTATAGGAATAACTCATGAAATTTTAGGCCTACAAAGAGGTGGTGGGAAGGAAAAGGATGAGAAGATCTAAAGTTTGATAAAATGACTTCTAAAATGTAGTCTTCTGTTGGAGGAGAGATAAAAGCAGCATGATTTAGTCCAATGGTTTGTTTCTTTTGCCTCAGAACTACTTATTTTTCCAGGGAAATGCTAATGCAGAAGTTCAATATGTAAAAATCAATGTCTAACTCTGTGGTTGAAAGAGGATGGATATCCCAAAGTTTGACCCACAGTATGTCTGTTTACCACTCTCTCCAAGCCCCAAGAAGATATCATGGGTTATTCCTGAACAGATTTCCCCAGAATGCCCCAGAACTGCGGAGAACACTGTGAATAAACTGGACATACTGCTAGGAAAAGCAGGGGCCATAACTCACTTCTAATCTAAAACTCATTTTCTTTCTTCTTTAACTTAGACCAGTTTCACAGAGCTTTTGTAAATAAGCATGATGATTTTAAAACGATCTCTTAGCCTGACATGAGAGGCTTTCAATTTAATTTTTATTCCATTCCTCCACTGTGATCAGAACCACTTTATACATTTACAGTTTTCGCTAACAGTATTTCTTCAAAAATTAATAGATGCACACGTAGAAATTAGTATAAATTGCCTAGAATCATCCATCTTCCTCTCCACTCAGAAATGCACATTTCAAGTGAGGTACCCAATGACAAAATTATCTTACTGAAATTTGTTTCAATTTTACCTGTTACCAATTTTTAGGTGATGGAGAAGTGATTACTAAACACAATTTTTAGTGGTGAGATTCAATAACAAAAATGCATAATATCTCCCCACAGGCCATCTTCCTACTTCATATTCTCTGGTCGTCACAAGTAAAAATTATGAAATGGGGTGCTAAAATCTAGAAATAGAATTGTCTCTTGTGCATGCTGTTAATAGGGTATGTAACAACATGGGTGGAAGTAATTTGGCATTGTATATCTTTTTCATCTTGAATTCCCTGCAGTATCATTTTAAACTTTTAAAGCTTCATTTTATTTTTACTGTGCTTCTTAGAGAACACACAATAAGGTAAGAATTATATATCTATTGTAACTTCATAAATGAGAAGTTAAAAGCTCATATATCACAGACACACAAGGGAAGGCTTCAGAGTTTCCTCCATCTATAAAATGAAAAGCCTCATCCAAATCAAGATGTGATAGGATATACATTCGGTACCTTAAAAATATTAGATTCTGATCTAATATGTTAGACCCAATGCAGTCTGCTCCCCATTATCTATTCTTCACTTTTTCTGAATATAATCCTTATTTTTAGAGGTGCACGATACCTGGAATTGGACTACATTTTCCAGCCTTTTTGCATGTAAGCATGACCAAAGAGAGCTAATGAGATTCAGCCAATGTACTGCAAAGAGCTTCTGCAAACACTCCTTAAAAGACAACTCATGTAGGCCAAGGTGAGAGAATTGCTTGAGGCTAGGAGTTCAAGACTAGGAGCCTGCACAACATAATGAGACCCCCATCTCCTCAAAAAATAAAAATAAAAATAAACCATCAGCTGAGCATAGTGGCATACACTTATAGTCCCAGCTACCTAGGAGGCTAAGGCAGGAGGATAGTTTGAGCCTAGCAGTTCAAGGCTGCATTGAGCTATGATTATGTATTGTACCCCAGCCTGGGAAATAGAGTGAAACTGACTCTAAAAAACAAAAAAGACAACTCATTAATAATCAGAGAGAAGATAAATAAGGAAACAAAGGATGTGAACAACACTGCAAACCAACTGGACCCAAGAGACATATACAGAGGTCTCCACAGAATAAGAGCAGAATACACATTCTTCTCAAGCATATGCAAAACACTCTCCAAGATAAATCATATCCTATAGCACAAAACAAGTCTTAACACATTTAAGAAGACTGAACTAATATTAAGCATCTTTTTCTGACTATAATGTAATAAAACTAGAAATCGACAGCAAAAGGAAAACTGGAAAATTCACAAATAGATGAAAATAATACATTCTTGAACAATGAATGAGTCAAAAATAAATCATAAAAGAACTTAGAAAGTATCTTGAGACAAATTACAATGAAAACACAGCATACCAAAATCCATGGGATATAGCAAAGGCATTAATATAAAAGAAGTTTGTAACAGTAAAATGCCTATATTTCTATAAAAAAAATCAAATCAACAACATGACTTTATACATCAAGGAACTGGAAAAAGAAGAAGAAAAACTAGACTCAAAGTTAGCAGAATGAAAAAATAATAAAGATCATAGCAGAAATAAATGAAATAGAGACTAGAAACACAATAGGAAAAAATCAACAAGAGTAAGATTTGGGTTTTTTTTTTTTAATAAGATCAACAAAAGTGACACACCCTTAGCTAGACTAAGAAAAAAGAGAGAAGACTCAAATAACAAAAACCAGAAATGAAAGAGGAGGCATTACAACTGATGCCACAGAAATAATGAGATGAATAAGATATTGCTATAACTAATCATACACCAGCAACGGGGAAACCTAGAAGAAAGTGATAAATTCCTAGAAACATACAACTTACCAAGACTGAACATGAAAATATGAAAATCTGAACAGCTCTATAACTAGTAAGATTATTGAATGAGTAATAAAAAAATCTCCTAACAACAACAACAAAAGCCCAAGACTAAACAGCATCACTGGAGAATTCTGGCAAACACTGAAGGAAGAATTAACACCAGCCTTTCCCAAACTCTTCTAAAAACTTGAAGAGGAAACATTCAAACTTACTTTATGAGGCCATTTTTACCCTAATACCAAAACAAGACAAAGAAACTACCATAAAATAAAACTATAGACCAATATCTATGATAAATATTGATGCAAAAATCCTCAAAATCCCTAAAAAAATACTAGCAAACTGAATTCAACAGCACATTAAAAAGATTACACACCATTACCAAATGAGGTCTATCCTTGGGATGCAAGGATGGTTCAACATATGAAAAATCAATCAATGGGATATGCTACATTAGTAAAATAAAGGACAATGAATCTCATGGTCACCTCAATGGATACAGTAAAAGAATTTGACAAAATTAAGTACCCTTTCATGATAAAAACGCTCAACAAACTAGGAATAGAAGAAAATTACCCAGCATATTAAAGGCTATATATGAAAATTTCACAGTTAACATTATACTCAACAAGAAAAAATTCAAAGCTTTTCCCCTATGATCAGGAAGAAGGCAAGGATACCCACTCTCACCACTTCTATTCAGCATAGTACTGGAAGTCCTAACCAGAGCAATTAGACAAGAAAAACAACTAAAAGGCACCAACAGGTGAAAAGGAAGAAGTGAAATGATCTCTGTTCACAGATGGCATGATTTTATAAGTAGAAAACCTTAAAATTTTTGCATGCATGCATGCATGCACACACACACACACACACACACTGTCAGAACTCATAAACGAATTCAGCAAAGTTGCAGCGTACAAAATCAACATTAAAAAATTGTCTGTGTTTCTACACACTAACAATGAACAAACAAAAAAGAAAATTAAGAAAACAATTCCATTTACAATATCATCAAGGAGAATAAAATACTTGAAAAGAAACTTAACCAGGGAGGCAAAAATTTGTACACTGAAAGCTATAAGACATTGCTGGAAAAAAAAAAACACACACACACACAAATAAATGGCATGATATCCCATGGCCATGGATTGTAAGACTTAATATTGTTAAAATGTCTATACTACCCAAAGAGATCTGATTCATTGAAATCCCTTTCAAAATCCAAATGGCATTTTGCAGAAATTTTTTTTTTAATTTCAAAATTCTTATGACATCTAAAAGAATCCTGAATAGCCAAAACAAAGAAAGAAAAGCAAAGCTGCAAGCCTCATGATTCCTGATTTCAAAACATATTACCAGGCTACACTAATCAAAACAGTACTGGCATAAAGAAAGACATACAGAGCAGTAGAATGAAACAGCCCAGAAATAAACTCTCAGGTCTTATGACCAAATGATATTCAACAAGAGTGTCAAGACTACACAACAGGGAAAGGACTGTCTCTTCAACAAATGGTATCAGGAAAACTGGATACCCACATGGAAAAGAACAAAGTTGGACTCTAGCCTTACATCATATATAAAAATTAGTTAAAAATGGGTTAAGGTCTTTAACATAAGCCCAGAAACTATAAAACTACTGGATGAATCAGGGGAGAAGCTTTATAACATTAGATTTGGCGATATTTCTTGGCTATCACACCAAAAGCACAGGCAGCAATAGTAAAACAGACAAATGGGATTACATCAAACTTGAAAACTTCTGCACAGGAAAGCAGTCAACACAGTGAAAGGCAACCTAGAGGATGAGAGAAGATATTTGCAAATCATATATCTAATAAAGGGTTAATATCCAGAACATATAAAGAACTCCTACAACTCAACAACAACAAAATAACTCCATAAAAAATGTGCAAACAACTTGAATAAATACCTTTCCAAAGAAGATATCCAAATGGCCCACAAGCATATTAAAAGATTATCAACATCACTAATCTTTAGAGAAATGCAAATCAAAACCACAATGAGATATCATGGCCATTATTAAAAATAATAATAATAATAAATGTTGGTAAGAATGTGGAGAAATTGGAACCCTTGTGCACTGTTGTGAATGTAAAATGGTGTAGCTGCTATGGAAACATACGGAGGTTCTTCAAAAAAAATAAAT
Organism: Homo sapiens; assembly: GCF_000001405.40. Taxonomy (NCBI): domain Eukaryota; kingdom Metazoa; phylum Chordata; class Mammalia; order Primates; family Hominidae; genus Homo; species Homo sapiens. Next base: position 81,937,325 of record NC_000010.11, on the reverse strand, counting down.
AAATTACCCATATCCTCTAGCTATCCCATTCCTGAGTATATATTCAAAAGAACTGAAAACAGGACCTCAAGGAGACATTTGCACACCCATGTTCACTGCAGCATTACTCACAATAGCCAAGAGGTGGAAGCAACCTAAATGTCCATCCGTGGATGAATGGTTAAAGAACACGTTTTCTATGCATACAATAGAATTCGTTCAGCCTTAAAAAAGAAGAAAATCCTGTTATATGCTACAACATGGATGAACCTTGAGGACATTATGTGAAGCGAAATAAGCCAGCCACAGAAAGACAAATGTTTCACGATTTCATGTTTGTGAGTTATCTAAAGTAGTCTAACTTTTCAAAGGGAACTGAGGTTCAGTTCTGCAAAAGATGGAAAAGTTGTAGAGATCTGTTGCACAACAATGTGCATAGAGTCAACATTAGTGTACTGTACACATGACATGATGATTAATTTTTTATGTGTTTTTTATAATAATTTTTTAAACACAATTTACACATGGCTTCCCCTCCCCTCATCTTTTGGACCCTACCCTCATGCTGCCTAGAACAGATGTGGAGGGTAAAGCACTAATCACCATTTTGGACCATGACAGCAAGGCCCATACCCTGACTATAGCAGGGTGGTGAGTTAGAAAGAGCTTCGGCCCCAACCACCTTACGGAGCAAAACCAAAATAATATCCCTAATCAACCAACTAATACAAACTGTAGCTGACACAGGGTCTCTCTCACATGTTCTCTTGTGAGCCATCTGTGGTTCTCCCACTCACTTCTGTACACACAACCATCCTCACTTACACTGTCTACTTCCTGACCCCTTTCCTGCTTCCCTCCCATCCATCTTTCACAGTTATCAGAATACAGTCATAAAACACCAAGCTGATCATGCTTAGTAACCTACAGAGACTCCTTCAAAACCTAATTCTAAGCTACCTCTCCAGACCCACCTCATTTCAGTTTCCCTTATGCAACTGTTGGGAATAGAACTCCAATCACAGTTTGGTTCACTGTTTCTTGAATGTTCCATACTCTTTTCAAACTCAGAGATTTTATCCAAGTTACTCCGAGTGAAATTCTCCTTTCTTATATTTCTCCCCAGCCTCTTCTCAATCTTTTGACATATATTAACATGTCAGTTCTCATTTCAGTTTTTTCCCCAGGTCCCAGGTATAATTATTCACTTTCTCCACTGTTCCCTCTATTCCATAGGCACATAACACAAGGAAGTATAATAGATCTCCTTCTATCATGTCTGCCCACTTACATGGTGAACACAGGCAGGACCATAACTGAAACACGCCACTGCTGTGCAATTGGGGACATAACACTGGGTAAGACAAACCAGTTCCTTCCCCCCAGAGAGCTGACATTTTAACCATTTTAACACAGGAAACTGTGTGTGTGTGTGTGTGTGTGTGTGTGTGTGTGTGTGTGTGTGTGTGTTCAGGCACTGAAAAGTATAATGAAAAAAAGCTGGGTAAATTGAGAAGCTGGACAGTGAAAGTGACTCCAAGGAGGAACAAAGGGTTGTGTAACAAAGGGTTATACAGGTTGGTCAGGAAGGCTCCTCAGAGGAGGTGGTCCTGAAGCAGGGATATGAATACTGTGGGAGAAGTCTCAGAGAGAGTGGCCCATGCAACAGAAACAGAAAGTGCTCAATCCTTCTGTCAAATAGGCATCAAGAAGAACAACAAAGGTGGGGAGGGGGTGATGTTATCCACAGTTTCTTTGTTGTTGTTGTTGTTGTTGTTCCCTGAAATAGGTCACAGATGACAAATGGGCTACTTTAGCCACTATAACAAAGTATGGCAATTAAATCCACCTAAGTATAACCTGACTCTAAAGTTTCTCAGCTACTAAAACCTATCTTTTCCTTACTTACCTTTCATCCTTATACAATAAATGCATTTTGCAAACTAAAAACAAAAATCGTCATCTGGTGCTTCTGATGTTGCTTAGGAAATTACTCATCACAAATTATTCATATAATGACAGAACTCCATTGAGTTATTTTTTCCCCAAAATGACATATTAATACCTAAGGACACATGAATATCTTGCCAAACAAACTCATATTTGCAGATAATTATACTTAGTGCCAAATAGGCTAAAGCTCTCTAAAGAACAACATAAAAAAGCGAATTCCATATTTATCTGGAAAATTGTTCCTCTACACTTTAAACCAAAGGGTACTAGGAAATTTCAATAGCAGTCTCTGGGAATCTTTTCCTTTACCAAATTCCAAAGCTTTAATCCATGAATAAAATAACACAATGTAATAAACAGCCATGGCTTAAATGTTTTGGGTGAAATACAAAGTAGTTCTATTCATTGCAACATGTGTTTTGGAATCTACTTCTGGAGTGAAGGCCTCTTAGTGTCAGCAGTTAATTGAGGCTTGGCCCTGGGGAGATAGGAATAGCATGTTGTCATAATATGCTAACAGGCTACTGAAGATGATACAAAAACATTACCTATAGTAACATACCAATAACTTAAAGATGTAATTCATCAAATAGAGCATGATTTGTCAATATGTAGAACACAAGGTATGTAAGAGTAGAAACAAAATTACCAAAAAAGTAATAGGTGATCTAAAATAAATTATAGCAAAAAATTGCAAATCCCAATTCCAAACCCAATTTACTTAAAATTTTACTCTTAATTTACTGAAAAGCAATACAGTGCTTAATTGTACAAAAGGCCACATATATCTAAAGAAATCTCTCCATCTATTACAGTATGCTTGGATGAGTCACTTTCCATAGATTTGCCATCCTCAAAAGTACAGTGTCTCCAATAAAATGAGCTCAAGGAGAAGGAGAGACATTTCCATTGTTGTATGATAGAAGCTTTATGTGTGTCACAGCAATTACCACGGAGGGAGTGTCCGATGCTTAAGGAGAATGACAGAATAGAAGGAAATGCAAAATTCAAGCACAGATGAAATGATGGCAAAGAAAGAACCACCACGGTGTTTAATGAACAATGCTGCAACTATTCATTACGCCTCTTCTCCAGCTGATCATTAAGCTTTCAGCACTGTTTATGCAACAGAAAAGGAAATGTTGACTGAAGATTTCATACACTTACTATTCACACAAAGAAGAAACCATGAACAGTATAATCTGCAATTATAGTACCTGCCGAAACTGGATCACTGTCATTGAACCTGGTTATTAGTTGTTGTAAGCACTGTCAGAGGCAAGATAACTTCTGAATTGGGGATCTGTCTGGTATGATCATTGGAGATACGGACTTGAAAGCTCATGAAATAAATTATATAAAATTAAACTGGTTTAAACAATATCCAAATGGTTTTCAATATCTATGACCTCATGGTAGAAGAAATCATTCCTTTAATTTCACAAATTAGAGGCTTCTAAAAAGTCAAATTTTTCTGTCACTACTTTTAACCATCTTCACCATGCCATTATTGTAGAATAACATAATTCAGTGTTTATTAAATAGAAAAAACAATGAGTGTAATTCATATATGCCAACATCATTTGTAGCAGAAATACAGGCTACTCTATAAAAAATATACTGAATGAATGACTCTTATAGTTAGCTTACCTTTAATAACCTGCTGGGCATACACTTTCATCTTGTACCAATCAGGAAAACACTTTACAAACTTACCAACTGAGAAGAGGTGCCTGAAAGTATATGTTGTATAGAGTACCGTAGAAACAATTACTCATAGGACACTTTGGAAGAAACTTGAATTATCAAAATAATTGAATCCCTAGCATTAAGTGATATACCTAATGCTAAATGATGAGTTAATGGGTGCAACACACCAACATGGCACATGTATACACATATGTAACAAACCTGCACGATGTGCACATGTACCCTAAAACTTAAAGTATAATAATAAAATAATAATAATAATTGAATCCTATGTCTACTACTTACCATCTTATTCATTAATGAACATATCTCCTTAACTTCAATTTTCTGATCTACAAAATTGGGACATAAGTATCTATCTTGCAGAGCTGCTGTGGGAATTATACATAATTAGATAAGATCGTGGATCTGAAGGATTCTAGGAAGAAGTCTGCCATGGTCATATAGCAGGCATATTGTTGTGCTAGCTTCAGTCCACCCTTCTTAGAGGCTTGATCCTCTTTCATTATATCCTGAGTCATATGTGATCAGAAAGAACAAATTTCTTTTTTTCTTTTCTTTTTTTTTTTTTTTTTTGAGATGGAGCGTTGCTCTGTTGCCCAGGCTGGAGTGCAGTGGCACGATCTCAGCTCACTGCAACCTCTGCCTCCCGGGTTCAAGCAATTCTCTGCCTCAGCCTCCCAAGTAGCTGGGATTACAGGTGCCCACCATCACGCCTGGCTAACTTTCTTGTACTTTTAGTAGAGATGGGGTTTCACCATCTTGGCCAGGCTGGTCTTGAACTCCTCACCTTGTGATTCACCCGCCTTGGCCTCCCAAAGTGCTGGGATTACAGGCATGAGCCACCGTGCCTGACCAGAAAGAACAAATTTCTGAACAAAAAGATCAGAAAGACCATGACCCTTTGGACGGTGACTAGAAGCTATCAAACACCTACTATCTTAAAAAACAACACTGAAAACTGGAAATGAATCTATGTGATCTATAATATTTTCAGCAATGACTAATCCTTTCTTGTACTGTTTTTGCTTAAAGGTAATTGAAATACTTAAGATTGTACAACATACAACCTGCAGAGTACATTTCAGAGGGATGATGCATGAGTAAATATCGCTTTGGAGCTAATTTGATAAAATATATTGTTCCAAATTAACTTTAGATTCCAAAGTAAATTCAGAAATGGTTTTGAAATAATTGTGAAGAATTACTTCTTACCTATGTCAAGCAGTAGATTACATGCTGATATAGTTGGGATATTTGTCCCCAGCTAAACCTCATGTAGAATTGAAATCCCCAATGCTGGGGGGCAGAACCTGGTGGAGGTGTGTGGATCATGGAGGTGGGTCACTCATGGCTTGGTGCTGTCTTCATGACGTGAGTTCTCACAAGATCTGGTCATTAAAAAGTGTATGGCACTTCCTCTCTCTCTCTCTCTCCTCTCTCTCCTCTCTCTCAATCTCTCTCTCTCTCTCTTTCTCTCAATCTCTCTCTCCTCTCTCTCTCTCTCCTCTCTCTCAATCTCTCTCTCCTGCTTTCACCATCTGACGTGTTTGCTCCTGCTTCACCTCCTTCCACCATGACTGTTAGCTTCCTGAGACCTCCACAGAAGCCAAGAGATATCAGCATCCAGCTTTCTATAAAACCTGCAGAACTATGAGCCAATTAAGTCTCTTTTATTTATAAATTAGCCAGTCTCAGGTATTTCTTTATAGCAACACAAGAATGGCTTATACACGTGCCTTATCCTGAATTGCCCAGAGTTCAGACTCTTTTTAATGGGAGATGTAATGGCATTGTTTTTAGTCATAATCTCTCCTGAACAATGAAACAAAAAAGCTTTCTGCCTGGTTTCTTAAAAGTGCATGCAGAATAAACACTTCCTTCTCTCTAAGAATGGGAGTGAGTATCTTCCGAAACTTCATCTCCTGTTAATGGGCAATTAAGTACTATTGGGAAAAGGGGGAACGATGAGGTTCATCTGATTGTGTTTTGTTTAGTTGGGCTTTTAGAGAATGAATAGTAAAAAGAGTGTGGGTGTGGAAATCCAAGAATAGGCACCGTCAGGTGATAAATCTCAAGGTATAGAAGTAAAATGAAGAGCCCCTGGAAGACTGAATACTGATTCTTGAAAAAGTTCCCAAGGAGAGAGAGGGACCACAACCCAAAATGGTGGACCAGGGGAGGACAGTGATGACAGCCTTTGTTCTAGAGCCCAGGGATTGTGTGGAAATTGAATCCCCCATCTCTTTCAAGACTTCTAAGTCTGGTTTCAGGGAAATCTTTTGTTGCATAATAAAGAATTTAACTGGCCTTTGAACCTGGTTCCTGGAAGACAGAATCTATATCCTTGGAATTTCCCAGGTAATAGAAGAGTCTTTGATATTCATGATCCCTTGGATCAAACTTTTGAGTTTATGCTCATGAGATGAGATGACTGAGAATGGAAGCTGGTCAACAGAAAGACCTAACATGTAATTAGAGAGTTAAAGCTCTGAACCAGCCTGACCTCCAGAAAAGTGAGGGAGTTGGAGCTTGAGTTCAATAATGGGGCCAATGTTTAATCAATTACATCTATGTAATGAACAGGGAAGTTTGCTGAAACTTCCCGCTTGGTGAATACATCAATGTGCCAGGAAAGTGATGTAAGCAGACAGGGAGGGTCTCCAGGGACTATAGAAGTTTAACCAGCTTGAACAATCAGCCTGTTTTATAGCCTCCCACTTTTCAGCCTGTTTTTTACAAACCGTCCATGGAATGCAGTCACCTAGTCAGCTGGAACCAGTTCCAGACAGACCCCAGCAACTTATAGATGAATCTGAGTGAAGCTTCCTCATTACCATGCTAAAGTCTCTACGCTGGGAGGAGCTACAGATTCATCACCATAACATGTAACCTATGTGCTGGCATAATGTCTCAGTCTGCACCACTGGTGCCCCTCCTCTACATGCGATGATGCACCTTCTCCCCTCTCCACAACTCCATAAAACCCACCTGTCACTTTTCCTCGGGGAGACACTGCTTTGGAGAATATTCCCGGTGTTCTCCTACCTTGGGACAAGTAATAAAACTCCTATAGATCAAAACCTATGTTCTCCTGGAGAGTCGTTTGTTACTTGCCAGGCAAATGAACCAAGTTTTTTGTCTTTTTGTTTCCTTTTTCTTTTTTTTTTTTTCCAGGTAATAGTGACAAGCCCTTATTCTACAAGAAGAGAGCACAAAAGCTCTGTTTGAGACCCTCTCAGAAACTGCCCTGTGTGTCTCTTCATTCAGCTGCTCCTGAGTTGTATCTTCTACAATAAAACTGTAAGTATAATGCTTTCCTGAATTCTGTGTCATTCTAGTGAATTTTTGAGCTTCAGGAACGTCATGGGAAGCTCAGGGATTTGCAGCCTCTGAGTATGAAGCGAGGACCATCTTGCTGGAGACCATACTCTTTAACTTATGGGGTCTGCACTAACTCCAGATGGTTATGAGAACTGAATTGCAGTGTACCAGTTTGAGTTGAAACGGTATGTGACTTCCCCAGCTGCACCCTGGGCAGTGACTGCATGCATCACTGAGAGGTCCTGTCTACAGCAGATAAAACTCCACAGATCACTCCTCCTGTAATCCCTCTAAGTGCTCCAAGGCAGCAGAAAGGCCCAGTGCATTGAGGCTGGAAGCAGGAGCAGAGACTCTGGGATATAGTGCGAAAGTCTCTTTCCCCTGTAGTTGGGCTAATCTGGAAAAACTCAAAAACCTGGCCTGATTACCGAGGTTTCTTTTATGGATATTTAGTATTTAGATAAAATTTTTACAGTATTCTTGAAATGAACCCAATTAAACACATAGTTCTCAGTCTTGACCACACATTAGAATCATCTGGTAGACTTCTGTAAACTACCAATGCCTGGCCAGATAAATTCAACCATCATTTTTGAGGAATAAACTGAGGTGATTCTGCTGTGCCTAGCATTAAGAAACATTGGATAGAGTGCAATGAGAGTGAAAGAGTTTTTGGAGCCTGGAGCTTCACTACACTCCTGAACCTGCCTTTGTTCAAGGGAACAGGCATGCTAGGGAAATACATTGTAGTCAACTTCTTCCTAAACTTGGGAAAGAGAAGCCTGATGAAGGAGCTGGTTATCACCTAAAAGAAAAAAATGTGTTTCAGTCACCCAACCCATCATGAGGAGCCTGGGCTCCATAGCCCAGCTACACCATGCAAAACGGCCGCTGGGTATTTGGAAATGAAATTCAACCGAAGCATGGTATGGAAGCTACAAACTCACTTCTCAACATTTCATACTGCATCTTTCATAGATGTTTCTCAAAGGATTATTATGTTTTAATTCTTAGGCACATGATCAAGGTCCATTTGAGAGGAATCCAACTTTTGTTAGATTGGTATTGCAGGGATTTTAGAAACATTGAGGAGGAGAAGAACAGATGGAGAGGGAGGTTGTCTGCACACAAAATTAAATATTTATTAGGTTGTTCACCATAATTGACTAAATTTTCCATGTCATGACGTAGGCCACTCTGCTTGACAGAAAAGTCAATTTAAAAAAAAGTGACTCAGCCCTGTGGTGGCTCACACCTGTAATCCCAACACTTTGGGAGGTCAAGGTGGGAGAACTGCGCGTGCCCAGAAGTTCAAGACAGACTGGGCAACATAGCAAGACTTTGTCTCTACAAATCAAATAAATTTAAAAATTAGCTAGGCATGGTAGTGTGTGACTGTGGCCCCAGCTACTTGGAAGGCTCAGGTGGGAGGATCACTTGGGCCCTGGAGGGCCAGGTTGCAGTGAGCCATGATCATTCCACTTCACTCCAGCCTGGTGACAGAGCTAAACTCTCAAAAAAAAATTGTTCTTTAACTTGTCTTATTACTTTCTAACTGATAATGTTTATAATTCATTTCAGTACATAGAGATATATTTAAAATTTAAACCTTTTAAAATACTATTACGGCTCTTATTATGATTATACATGACACCTATTCAATCACTTCTCTATTGGTGGACATTTAGGATATTTATACATTTTTGCTACTGCATGGAATGTACCCATGTACCCATAAGGGTAGGGCAGGGAGGGCAGTTTCATGTTATTCCTATATTTGCTTCATGTTTTTATAATTTGGGAACAATATTTGATAAGCCATGAGCTTTTATGTTTTAAAATAAAGCACTCAATTCTTTATGATGGATTTTTATACAGCTATTTCAAATAATTTGTTTTAATATCTCTTGGCTTCAATCAGTTTTGAGGTTTTTAAGACCCAAATGTAGTTGGTCCTAATGCTGGGTCTACATTGCAATCACCTGGGGAAACTCCGCACTACCTGAGAAAGAGGAGGGAGGTGGAGTGACTCTTTCAATCAGAATCCCTGCAGGGGAGACAGGCTCTGGATATTCTGGTAAAAAGCTTTCCAAGTGGTGGTAACCTGCTGCTGGGGTTAAGGACAAATGCTCTAGAATGTACATCATTAAACTGTAGATGCTACATAATATGTTACTTCCTTTAAAAATAACCAGCAGATAAACTGTTTCACAAAGTGGTTAAGTGAGAATAAGTACAGTTTAGCTTATTATGAGGTCAATATATTTCTTTAAGATTTGCAGTTGAATCTGTTTGAACCCAAGCTGTGATTTACTTGTAAAGATGTATTGATTTGGTGACAACTATGAATCCATATGTAAAAACCAATTTATTATTTATAATAAAAGTCACTTAGATTTATTATTATTAGGTTGGAATTTGGTATCTTATTGCTACAAGGAATCTGTTTTCTCAGTCTTAAGATCTCTGTTTTAACTTTAATGCTGATCAGTTGTGTCTGAGTTCCAAAGAGAGGAGAGTATAATGAGGCACACTGGACCCCTCTTCGCATCCTGGCTTGAACTCCCTTTTCAAGTTTACTTTGGAATACTCATGGCCAAGAGGGGGTCCATCAGTCAGTTGAGGGGCTTAGAATTTTGTTTTTGGTTTACAGTATTATCAATGCAAGACGTTAATTAGGGGAAACTAAAGGCAAGGGTGAGAGGGAGTTTATGGAACCTCTGAACTTCCCAATCAATTTTTTTGTAAATCGAAGACACAAAGTCTATCATTTAAAATAAATAAATAATGACTAAGTAAATAAATATGTAAAGTTGGGTAGATTTTTAATGTTCTTGAACTTAATTTGTTCTATTTCTCATTAATTAATAGCAACCCAAATATAGTTCATTTTTAGCATATTAAGTTGATCTCAACATAGTTAATATTCACTTTTAATAGTCAGAATTGACATTTTAGCAAAGGTGTTGTAATTTTAGAACATTTGACCCACCTTTAAGTTCTCAGAGGTGGATATTTAGACTACGACCATTCTCCTTTACACAGAAAATAAAAATTACAGCAGATAGGATATTAATAATTCAGTTTATGAAGGCAAGAAAAAAAGAGAAACAGAAAAAATAATTTGGCGTTTACTTTCTAAGCAATTCTTGATCAGCTTAGGCATATGTTTTGTGTCAAGCCAAAAGTAAGTAAAGGATATATGATCATATTCATCTTATACTTGCTAAAAGAAGAATTGCCATTGACCCAAAAATTCTCTAGTAATTTATTTTTATCTCTTGGCCTAACAGGGAGCACAATGATCCAATCATCGATTAGAATCTCCTTGGTTAGTTTTATTTTTAAGTCATTACATTACAATACTGTCGCCACACGCAATGCCATAAAATCCAGAGCATGCTCGGCCCTTTATGCACTTTATCTTACTGAGTTGTCACAACCCCTCTTCCGGGTAAATATTATTATCTCATTTATATACTTTTACTGAGATTCAGAGTAGTTAAAACCTTGCCCAAGGCCACGTGACTAATAAGTGGCAGTCAGGGTACATCTACGGATTAAAACTGGAGATTAAACTCTTATAATTTAGGGAACTCCATTCCTTCTGGTACTCAACCTTGCTCATAAACCAGCTTTGTTTTTTAGTTTACACCTTTATCTTCATAACTGATTTGGGAAGGCAGGGTTAATAAGTAGGACTTCCACAATAAAAGATTGGGAAGCAAACATAGTAAACTCAGAACAAAGTGAGCTGTTTAATTACACAAACACTTGTCATGTGGCATAAATAAAATCTGCTAAAATTAGCAGGATCCTTAAAAAAAAATAAAAATTAAATTCTATTTTATCTTATAAAAAGTTTTCAGTTATGTGGGTAAATTCTCTATATCACTCTCTAGCTTAACCGGATATTCTCTTCTCTAAAGTAGCATTATGGGCTGGGCATGGTGGCTCACACCTATAATCCCAGCAATTTGGGAGGCCAAGGCGGATGTATTACTTGACGTCAGGAGTTCAAGACCAATCTGACCAAATGGTGAAAACCTGTCTCTACTAAAAATACAAAAAAAAAGTATCTGGCTATGGTTGCGGGTGCCTGTAATCCCAGCTACTCCGGAGACTGAGGCAGGAGATTCACTTGAACCCAGGAGGCAGAGGTTGCAGTGAGCCGAGATTGTGCCACTGCACTCCAGCCTGGGAAACAAAGTTAGACTCCATCTCAAAAATAATAAATAAATAAATAAATAAAGTAGCAATATGGCCCTTGCTTCTACAAATTTTCTTTAAATATTCATAAGATAGAGGAAAATTACATTCGCATCCCAATCTTACTGCTGTCTATGCCACGGCCAATTTTTCCTATAGCTGAACATGGTCCTTCAGCAGATACCTCTCTTACAGTCACTGTAATTTAGGCCTCTTCACCTTTGAGGGGAGAGCTATACAAAAGAATCATCATGTCTCCCTGATGTTTAATCAGGGCTCAGCATGCTAAGGTCCTTTTATGAAAGCTCCCTGGCAGGAAATCAAAGTTCCTTTCTTCAAAAACAATAAAACATAAAACAGAGGAATCCATCTGTCAATCAAGATGGATTTCTCTTTTTTTTTTAAAAAAAAAGTTTTTTCAGAAAATAAAAAGCTTTCACACTAATTAATAGCCATTAAAGCTCCTACCAGTTTAAAGCTTGAGCAAAGTCAAGAATTATCCAGCTAATTCAAATCCAGAAGGTACTTTTTCATCACTCATCTGGATTGACAAAAGAAAGTATTTCCCTAAAAAAGACCAGGATAATTAATTCCAATTTGCACTTCATATTTGCAAGCACAACCTCAGTGTGGCAGCCCTTACAAATTTCCCTGGAGTATGATAATTATAATCAATTATTCAGAATTAGATCCAAGTCCATACATATCTATTGCTTCCACATCATGCCATGTTAGGTCTTGGAAATGCAGAAATGATTAATTCAAACCCTTGCTTTGGAACTGTATACAGGTGATCAGAATTCTGCTTCCTAGATGGAGTTTCCCAATTCTATATTCTGTTGCACAAAGTGATGAAAGTCAGACTAGACCAAAGGTTCCACATGTGCCTCAATTCCCTCTATATCATGCCTCCCGAGTGATTACACTGCCCATGGCTGCATGCTTGTCAAGATAGGCTTTTACATCTTTGGACAGCTCTTTAATAAAATCATTTTGATGTCTGCCAGTATAATTGGTGGTAACAATTAATGGCCTGTAATTTATCTGGGGAAGCTCTTTGAGACCTGAAGCACAACAGGGAAGAAATCTCACAGGGGTCAAATGATGACTTTCTCTAAATAGCTTTGAATCAAACACACAGAGCATAGGACTGAAAGGAAGCTTGACAATCTAAAAGCATATTTAATTATTCCCCTTCTTTAGGCCTTTTTTTTCTCTTTCACCTGCAAATATACAAATGTCATATATGTCCCTCCTCCCTCATCCTCAAAACACACACAAGAACTACAGAATAGTAATTATCAAACAGGAAATCCACTCAATTAAACAACAGTAACTGTACACATTGTTATGGATGCTGGCCATTTTCCTCCAGTGACCGACCTTCTTTGATCTGAATAATACCAGCAAACCAAGAAGCAAATGAGCACACTGGACAAAAGGCCTAAAACTTTGGCTAACGAAATTAATTCGAACGATGGTCTAGAGTCTTAAAAAGCCCCATAATAGAAAGTCCACATTCCCTACCTCACATGTTGATGGCCATCTTAAACAAACCAGTCGAAACAGGACATTTCTGGACTCTGTCCACCCAAATGAACTCCCTGGTGTAACTCATGCTTATAAGAAAGCTGAACAGCTCACAAGAAAACTTGTAAAATAGCCTGTGATCTTTAGGGGGAAGACCACAAGCTCACCCAAGGGTACATGGAGGAAAAGCCCAGTCTAGCAAATGTCCTCTATGTAAACAGCTTTGAAGTTCAGACAACTGTCTTTCTAAATGCTTTTATTTACATTGTGGTGTAACTACAGTAAAACAAATGATGATAAAGTGATTTGGATATAATGAGAAAGTACTTTAGGAGCATATTTCTGTTACCTTAATACAAACATCATTTCTACTAATTATGAGTTGGAAAAGATACACATTGTTGTGGTAACCTCTGAAGAGCAAGAGCTGTGTACGTGTTCTGTGCCTCCTATAGTCACCACCAGCCCTACCTGCTCCCATCCACAAACTGTGAATGACAACATGACCCCAAGTTATCTCCCACTACTTCTCTCTACTAATCCCACCGGGGTCAGTCCTACTGGGCTCCCAATCACCTGCCTGTATCCTGTCCACTGCATTCACTCAGCATTCATCCTACAAACATTTAACGAGCACCTATTTCAGTGCTGCAGACATACAACAAGACTGCTGGCCTAAGGCACATACGCAGCCTGTTTCTACATGCTCACCCTATAAATATTCTCCCCATGCCACCTGAGGGCAAAGGCCTCTGCTAGCAGAGTAGGTGGAAAAAAGAACAAGGTGGGTTTCCAAACATGCAAACGTCATACAGTACAATTAAGGCTATACCACAGTCTGAACAAAACATTATGTGGTTCAGAGAAGGGACAGAAGATAAAACAAGGGGGAATTTGTGGAAGGCTTAAGAGAAACAGCATTCTCCGGGGGTCTTGGAGAAGATGGACACTGTTTTACAGCTGACAGCACCCCAGGCTGAGGAGGAAGAATTTCCAAGTGTCTCTTAGGAGTGTGGGAAAATGGAGGAGAAAACAAAGCTGGGGCTCAGGTTTGAGAGGCACCTGGAGTCAGCGCATGAAGGCTTTGTTGCCTACCCCACAAGAAATTCCAAATTCGGCCGGGCGCGGTGGCTCACGCCTGTAATCCCAGCACGTTGGGAGGCCGAGGCGGGCGGATCACCAGGTCAGGAGATCGAGACCATTCTGGCTAACACGATGAAACCCCGTCTCTACTAAAAATACAAAAAATTAGCCGGGCGCGGTGGCGGGCGCCTGTAGTCCCAGCTACTCGGGAGGCTGAGGCAGGAGAATGGCGTGAACCCGGGAGGCGGAGCTTGCAGTGAGCCGAGATCGCGCCACCGCATTCCAAATTCGATTGAGTAAGTAAAGCAGTTGCCCACAGGTAGGTAGTCTGATCAGAGTTGTGAGTTAGAAAGATGATTTTAAAGTGAAATTCTAATCTCATTAAGAGATAAAACAGAAATGCACTATATTAGACACAGGAGACTTGATAAAAACACATGTTTAAGAATATTAAACTCTCATTATTTCCTAATAATATGTAAATTACCAAAATTACTAGAGGCATTAGAAAATCTGTAACCACCACTGAAAACATTTTGCAGGTGATTTCATTTTTAGAAACTTTTTTGAATATGTCAAACATGTATAAAAGCAAAACAATGTACAAGGAACCAGCCCATATACTCAGAGTTTTATAATACTCCCACAGATCCTCCCTCCATGCTGTTCCTGAGGCTCTTTTTAAGCAAATCCTAGACATTCTATAAATCTGTCAGCAAATATTTGGGACATTTAAAAATATTTTTAAGAACAATCATTCCAAACCCAGCTCACACGTAAATTCTTTCAAATATTTTCTCTCTGGAGCACTGAAAAGGATGGAATGCTTTACAAATCAAGAATCTAGCATCAACTGATGCCCACACCTGACCCCCCGAAAGACAGGAAAAGAAAAAACTAAAGACAAATTTTTATATGAATGTAAATCTGAAATCCTAATTATTAAATCAATGTCTTGTTTTGGGCAGCAATGGAGATAAACTGGAGGCCATTCTCTTAAGTGAAATAACTCAGAAACGAAAAGTCAAATACTGCATGTTCACACTATAAGTAGGAGCTAAATAATATGTACATATGCACATAGAGTGTGGAATAATAGACATTAGAAACTTGGAAGGGTGGAAGGATGTGAGGGTGTAAGGAATGAGAAATTACTTAAGTGGTACAATGTATACTATTCAAGTGATGGTTACACTAAAAGCTACTACTGAGCAAAATATCTATGTAACAAAACTGCACTTGTGTTATTCAAAAAAGTCATGTAATAATACAAAACATTATCATAGGAGGATTTGTTAAAAAACGATCAAGTTAGTGCCAATATAAGGGATTCTAAATTTAACCCCTAATATAACTAAGTCAAAAAATTTTTTAACAAATGATGAGATGACAAAAAAAGTCGTTAACTATTTCAACATTGATTCCTAATTTAAAATGTCTAAATAGCAATAGTGGGCATTTAAACTGGATAGTATAATACCTGGGGCATTCCATTTAAATCAAGAAATGAGACAAGGATAAAATGCAAACACTTGGGAATATACTGTATAAGACCTTATTATATGAAGGGAACCATAACATTTCCACAAAAGGACAGAAAAGAAGGCTTGAATAGAGAGACAAATGTTGCTATAGGATAAAAAATGATATTGCAAAGAACCTACTTCTCAAATTAACATAAATGTCATTTCCATTCATAGTTTCACTAGAAATTGTATTGGAGTTCCAACAAATAAGTCTAAATTTCATAAGAAGTGAAAACAGTCAGAACATTTTTAAGATGTGCATTACTAGTTATTGAAAATTTCCCTGAATGTTATAGTGCTTGCTACTAAAAAGGAATGGCCAGAACAACAAAACAGACTAAATATGTACAAGCAGTCAAAATTACACACTGGATCCTTTATTCTCATCAAAAATAACCTAAGAAACATTAAATCTTACAAATAAAAAATCCAATCATAAACATAGTAGGCATAAATGTAGACAGATAGATAGATATTTCAATAATTGGAATTGAGGAAAGTCTTACTTAACAAGTTAAAAACCATAAAAGAAAAGACTAAGAGGTTTGACTTGGGGAAAAATCCAGATAGATATTAAGCAGACAGACTATGTGAAGCAAAACTACTTGGCATTTCTTTCAGAGATGGAGTTACTATTATTAATACATATTAAGAACTATCTAAAATAAGATAATGAAGTATAAATACCTCCAGGATTAGGCAAATATTATAAGCAAACAAATCACAATCAAGAATATACAAATAAATAATACAATTAGCAATTATAATTAGTGGAGATTAGCATGACAATATGATGGAATCCCATTTTTCTCCCATCAAAGTGGGAGAAAAGGCTTTTATTTGTTTATTTATTTATTTATTATAACAAGCCTCAGTATTGGCTAAGAATCCAAGAAGGGGCACTCTCAAACATTCCCATTTCACATAAATCAATATCAATATTTTAAAATCAATTTGCAAATACATACCAAAAAGACTTAAAATGTAAATACCATTTGACCATAAAATACATTCTGGCAAAATATATCCTAAAATGTTATTATGAATATAAGTAAACATGTAGCCACAACCTATCACTTTCATATTAGGTTATGAGAAAAACATTAGAAGAAACATATATAAAAATGAACAAAGGAATCCTGTTCTGTTCTATACAATTAATTTCTGTTCAGATTGTAAAAAATGTTACTGAAGTAGATGTATAACAAGGAAAAATGTTCACAAAACATTAAGTGAATAAGATGAATTAGAAAAATGTGAGCCCATGTTTTGTGAAATAAGATGTGTACTTACTGACGTGTACTACTATTCATAATATTATAAATTTGGAAGTATATCTAAAAATAAGCAAAAGCATTAGCTTTCTGGGGTTGGCATAATTACAGATTATTTGAATTTGATTTTGTTTAAACCTATATCAAAATTTTCCAAATTGAATATCCATATGCTATTTGGGAAGAAAAGCTTGAAAAGTTCACAACAAATTGATGTCATAAAGTATCATTTTTTTTTTAGACATGGATAGTCATGCTTATTAAACCTGAGTGGGCTGTGATCAATGCTTAGAAGGAAGGAGACTAGAGGGAGGCCCCCTAGTGGTGGGGGCTAAGATTAGGGGTGCCTGGGCAGCAAAGCACCAGGAATCGATGCCACAGATTCTTCAAAACTCCAATCAAATAGAGTGAGGAACCCTTCGAATTTTCTTTTTGGTTGCAGGGTGCTAAGGGTGAGGAGCATTGACTTTAAGATTTCCTGTCCTGCCAAGCAGGTGGCAGGTGCTTCAGTTGATCCAGCAAGATCTCATCTCTTTTCCAGCCCTCCTTTTCCCAGCGTGCTCCCTGCACACTTCTTCAAAAGTGAAGTCAAGGCTCCCTTTCTCATAGTGTCATCCTTACACCTCAGGCCATAAGACAGCTGTGTCCACTGAACTCCAGCAGAATTCTTTCCATCATCAT
This sequence comes from Homo sapiens, assembly GCF_000001405.40. NCBI lineage: Eukaryota > Metazoa > Chordata > Mammalia > Primates > Hominidae > Homo > Homo sapiens. The sequence continues at coordinate 81,920,056 of NC_000010.11, read as the reverse complement.
CTGGTACTTGATATTCATTCTGCCTTGAGGCACGTCTTATAAAGTTATTTTTATTGTTATTTAATTTTTCGTATATTAGTGTATCTGTCAGATGTGGCTAGCAGTAGCGGGGAAGAACAAAATCAAGAAAGAAAACTTCAAATAAGGCCTTGCCAAGAATAAAACACAATTGACGGCAGGTTTCCTGGTTGGCTGCACTCACCCCTCATTGCCACTGTTTCTGCTCAGCTCTGCTTGTGTAATTGCCCCTCAGACCAACTTCTGAGGTGATACCTCTGGACATTCATGGGTGTCTCATTTTGTCGAGTGCCTTAGTGCTTCATTTGCCTTGGTTTTGGTGTCCCAAAATCTCCTCAATATCTAATCTCAGTTTCCCTCAATAATTTTTGGGGGAACCTGTCATTTGCCATGTCCATGTTGGCAATGAAATTGATACTTAATAAGAATTCCACCCCATCTTTAATACAAACACACAATCTTTTTATCCCTTACTAGACTATAAATTCTTTGAAGCAATGGATTATATTTGATGATGATGATGATGATGAAGTTAATGAAAATAACACCCCAGGCAATGTTATTTATGAGTTCATAATACATGCTGTAATCTCTGCACGCTGCTACCAATCCTGACACAACTTCAAAATAAGTATTACCATTCTGCCATCACAGATTAGGGAGGAGACGTTCAAAGAGGTTTAAGAGGCAGATCAGATCAAGTGTCGACGCTCGGTTTTGAAGCAATGTCCATCTGATTTTCAGCGCTGCCACACTTATATCCTATTCTTATATATTCTTATATCCTATCCTAACTCAGCACTTCTTTTCAGCCCTGGGGCCCATGCCATCCCTTCAAGTGCTCTATCCCCTAGTCCCATACATATGAAGTTCTAGGCTAAGCCTTTTCCATACAAACTCTCAGTTAATTCCAACAAGAATTCAACAGATGGGTTACTGAATTTAAAAATATTTATTACATTTACTTCCCCCAAACACAATGGAAACAGGAGGGCTATATAGTATAATTGAACCAAAGCTGTGTGTGTGTGTGTGTGTATGTATGTGTGTGTGTGTGTGTGTGTTTTGTTATGATGCAATAGTAGTTAATGATTTGAAATAAATAAATAAATAAGCAATGTGTTGTTAAACACCAGATGTATTTCAAAACTCGTTTGACAGAAAATTGCAATGATTCTATTCAATGCTTATGGCCAGTTTTGTGTTTGTTTTTGTTTTTTGCAAAAATCCTAGTAGTATGAACAAAGTCAAGGAAACCAGTTGCAGCAGGTAAAATACAGAGAAAAAATTAACAGCATTTCATTAGTAAAATAAAATAATACAGCTCTCTATCAGCAAGTCCTCATTTGCCTAAAGCATCTTCTTTTGACTGAATTTAAAATAATTTTCCAATAATATCAAAGAAAAGAGGTGCATGCTACACATGCAAATAAGGCATTAATTAAAATGGCTTCCCTTTATGCTTCATTACTAACTGCTAAACAGAGCATATAAAATATCATTTATAAATAGAAAAATCCAGAACACAGGGTAATAGGGAAATAAATGGCCTTGTATTTCTTTTGTACGTGATAAAAAGCAGATGATGGAGTACCTGATCTGAGAAATCCAAAATGTTGTCACAGATTTATACTTGTGTTTACTCTGCCCATATAACAGAGAGATATCCCAAATGGCCAATATCATATGTGAATTCAAGCCTGAGTCAGAGGACTGCAGTTCTTTAAATCAATTCACTGGGAAACTAGTCCTTGACCTATAAAGAAACATTCCAAATACAACAAATGCATGAGCCAGCTTAAATCCTTTCTGGAATAAGATGGGGAATATATAGATGAAAAAACAGCACATGAATGAATATGAATACATAAATCCACTTTCAAAAATATTTCACAGAGCTGCTTCTTAAAAATGTCAAATGGTGACCAAAACACATTTCAGCATGAAAAAACTATTTCTGTTCCACTCGGGACACAGATCCATTGTATTTTCTGAGCATGGCATATGGATTCGGATGACAAAGATAATAAACATTCCTGTAAAAAGTTACTCCCTCATGCACAAGCCATGGTATTCCATTGTATTAAACTCATCAGTCCGCCACTTTTGTCTAAAACATGCGAAAAGAGAAAACCACACCCATGTCTCCTGAAAAGTACTAGTCATAGAAATGACTTTCCCCTCCTGAAAGCTCACAATGATTCCTGCAGTGCCCAATGCTCTCAGTTTTGTCCCTGTCAAGTACAGCTTGGAGGGGGGTCAGGGAAAAACACGTTTTCTAAAATGCATGAAACTAGCTTTGTGAAGTGAAAGACAAACTGTATCTATGTGCTGGATGATAAACCAGTACACGCATAGTTGAATAGTTAATATTTCAAGTACATGACTATTTGAATTTTTAAAACTGCCCTCCTCTTACAATAGTTATGTTGCATATTATTGCCATAGTCAAAGGGTTTTACCCCTGGGGTTTTTTGCAAAGGGTTTTTACCTACTCTCAAGGTAATTTATACAAACACTTCTCTTATTTTGAAGGGGACAGGAATAGTTTTATTCATTTATTTATTCATTTGTTCATCTTTCCATCCATCTAGTCATTTAGTTCATCTATTTGAAACATATTTTGAGGAGCTATTTTGTGTACAAGACACACGTAGTGGCTGGAGAGAAAAGGCAGATAAAACATGCTCATGTATAACTATAATCAAAAGAGAAGGTTATTATGCACCAAGAGATGTGTAAATTGTTTGGGGAGAGCCGAGGAAGGAGAGATGCATTCCAAATAAGGGACTTGAAGTGGGGCTCTTTATAGAAAGTGGCCTCTGAATTGGTTCTTGAATAAGTTAATTTAAGTACACTTAATAATTTAATTTTAATCTAAGCTGGTTAAAATCAGACATGCAATCAAGCTTCTCCATTCATACAGATACATGTTTTAATCTCTGACTAGTTATTTATATTTTGAGCCATGGTATTGTCTAATTTGAAGAGAATTATAAGCTAAAATTATATGTTTTGGGGTTGGATAAAACTGGGCCAAAGTTTTGGTCCCTCTACTTAATACCCATGTGGTCCTAGTCCCACTTCTTAACATCAGTGTATTTACAATTTCATCATTAATTAATGGAGATAATAATAGTGCCTATTTCATGACATTTTTTGTAAAAATTAAGTTTGAAAATGTATTCAAACATTGGCGAACATGAGTTGGCACCTGGCAGAAAGGCAGTACAATTATTAGGCACTACTCATTGGCTGTCCTCATGGAACTCAGGAGATGCCCAAGAAAAGATGTGCCTCAAATACAAATCAAGGCCTGTAATTAGCAATGCCTGCCCTTCTACTAGAGTTTGTGCTCATAGCCACCTTCACTATGTATTTTTTCAGTCTCTGACACCTAAATAGTACACTACATCTCTTCGACAGCAGACCCTTGGGTTCGTTATTCTATTTCAGTTTCACCTGCTTTTAGGAGATGACTGTCTAGCTCTTCCTGATGCTACACAAAGCCCCCCAATGCCAATGTCTTTTATGTCACCTAGCCTATAATTGTAACTTGGATGATCCCAAAGCTACACTGCAAATTCATGAAAACTCATACTCAGCTGCTTCTGTATCATACAGTTAGCAAACAGATATCCAGAAACTTTACTTATACTATTTATTATTATGTTTCTTGATTCATTCATTAAATTCAAGTTATATGGTTATATAACCAAAATGTAGTAAACTGCAAATATTAGATGCCCAGTAAATACTTACTGAGGAGTAAAGGCTGTCTCATGGAAACAGCACTTTCTACTATGGGCCAGGTTGGTAAGGAATAAACCTGCACTGTCCAACATGGTCCCCACTAGCCATAAGTGGTGAAAAGGCCTTTGAAACATGGCTAGTCCGAACTGAGACATGCTCTAAGTAAAAAGTACGCACCAGAGTTTGAATATGTAGCATACAACTAAAAAAAGAATTTAAAATATTTCATTAATTTTTATGTTGATTACATGTTGAAATGATAATAATTTAGATATGTTAAGTGAGATCATTAAAATTAATTTGTCTATTTCTTTTTACTTTTTTCATATGGTTACAGATGGGGCTTATATTATATTTCTATGTATCTCTCATCTTGACCAAGAGACGGGCCTGTACCAAGAGCAGAGGAATAAGTAAGCATTTACTGAAACCTCAAAGCTTCCCTGATGTCCAGGCTGTCCAGAGGACAGAACAATTATCACCATTATCATGCTAATTTTCTGTCTCCTCAGCAGGTAGAAGGAATAAACCTGCATTCTCATCGAGGAGGCTCTCAGGGATCTCACAGAGAGGTGCTAGATAAACTCCAGGTGTCCTCCACATCTCAGCAGGAAGCTAACTCAGTATTCTCTCCTGATTCATTTACTGGAGTGATAAACCCACACTCCGTATTTAATGATGCCAAATAGCTCCTTATTACTTGTGGATTCAAGAAACTTCTGTAGCTGAGCACCAAGGATATTTTCCAACATTATTTGATGCCTTGTGTTTTGGCAAAAAAAAAAAAAACTAAAGAAGTGTGAGCTGACTTTAACAATTTCAGGAGAAACTTAAAGAAATAAGGTCCTAATTGCCCAACACCCACCTCATCTCCTTTTTGGCCACTCAGGAAAACCCTGTATTTTTCTGTAATTGTGCCATGATGAAGAATCTAGCCTCTCCAAGGCAGCTGACCAACCACGAGCAGAGCACATGCTTTTATACTCAATTCTGAATATCAAGCACAATCCAACCTACAACAAGCACTTGAGGGTCTGAGGATGGGAAAGCAAATAGCCTCAAGTCTGATTAATGCTTAAAATATAAAAAAGATCTTTTTTTAGGGAGGAGCAGTACAGCACACATCCCAGTGTTGCCACAAAAACCATATATTTAATACCTAATTTCCAAAGAGAATAGTCCCTTAATGAGAAGCAAACTTTTAATAAGTTATAAATTATCCCAATGCAAGCCATTTCTCCACGTGATCTTTGATAAAAACAAAACTGGAGCCTTCACAGGATACACTAATTAATGAATCATAACTTAAATAAATAGCAGCTAGTATTTGTGTCGTTAGTTTAAAAGTACTTTCATATCTTATTTGAATCATCAGATAATCTATAACTCACATAAAGGAGGCCCTGTTTTCTCTGTTTTACAGATAAGGAAAACCCAAGAGTTTACACCCAGTAAATGACCAAAGCAAAAATGGAATCATACAATTCATGTCTTTCTTTTTTTTTTTTTTTTTTTTGCTTTCTGTTTTTAAAGACAGGCTATCACTCTGTTGTCCAGACTGGAGTACAGTGACATGATCACAGTTCACTGCATCCTTGAACTCCTGAGTTTAAGCAATCCTCCTGCTTCAGCCTCCTGAGTAGCTAGAACTACAGGCACACACCCCCATGCCCAGCTGATTTTTAAATTTTTGTTTGTTTGTTTGTTTGTTTGTTTTCAGAAACAGGGTCTCGCAATGTTGCCCAGGCTGGTCTCGAACTCCCAGTCTCAACCAATCCTGCTGCCTCGGCCTCCCAAAGTACTGGGATTATAGGTGTGAGCCACTGCGCCTGGCCAATTCAAGTCTCCTAAGAGCAAATTGAGCATTTTTGAAATGTACCCATCAGATGCCCCACTGCAATCTACTTCAGTGCTGAGATTTCAGTATTTGAAAGACCTACTGGAATTTATTTTTAAAATTCTAAAAGAATACGTGGGCATGGTCCTTGGAGTTGTGAGTGCTGGATACAAATATGAAGTTACATGAAGAGGAGTGTGAAAAGAATTGAAGAAATTTTAAGTGATTTTTAATTTTATTTTTTATTATAAAGGTAATACGTGTTCATTGTAAAAATATAAACTATATTTAATTTCCCATAATTTCACAGCCAGAGAAAACCATCAGGAATACGTCAATAATTACTGCTGTGCATGCAGAGGTGATGGTCGATATATTTAGCCAATGTGGCATGCCAGAAGCAGAGGACAGCCCTTACAGCTGCCCGCCTTAGAGAGTGTGCATAGCTGTACCGCTTGATACAAGTGCCACAAGAGCTCTGGATGTATGCCATGTTTTTAATGGAATCATACAATTTTACAGATTTTCAACCTCCTTTTTAAAAGCTGAAATATATTTTAAACATCTTTTAAAGTATGTTTCAATTTTTCTATATACATAAAGTCTGCACTGGAGTAAAAGTGTGATCTCCCTTCTGGAAAGAAAAGGCTGTGATTCACGGTGGCTTTCGTTATTTATCAGACATTCCACGTGGATTCACCAACCATCTCTACTTCAAAAGTGCTGGCTGGGAGCGGTGGCTCATGCCTGTAATCCCAGCACTTTGGGAGGCTGAGGTGGGCAGATCACCTGAGGCCACGAGTTCGAGACCAGCCTGGCCAACATGGTGAAACCCCACCTCTACCAAAAATACAAAAATTAGCTGGGCCTGATGGTGCGTGCTTGTAATCCCAGCTACTTGGGAGGCTGAGGCAGGAGAATCACTTGAACCCGGGAGGCAGAGGTTGCAGTGAGCCGAGAACACACCACTGCACTCCAGCCTGGAAAGCAGAGTGAGACTCTGTCTCAAAGAAAAAAAAAAAAGAAAAAAGTCCTGAGTGAGAGTATGGTGCTGGGTAAGAACAAGTAAGAAAAGCCACGGTTCTGCCCTTAAGAACTTAAAAAGACAGTAATAGCACTTGGCTCTGCATGAGGACGCTGGTCAATGGAGCACCTGGGCTCATTATTCCAAAGGTGGTGAGGAGGAGAAGTACAAGTTTCACTGCTCTGCTCTTTGAAGCTCCATTATAGCTTCTGCTAAATAACCTTTCTTGACCAAGCCCTTGGTTACTCCATCAATGAGTGTTGAATAAATTCAACCATAAAACTGATTAAAAGTGGTGCCAGCCTCTTCATTGTTTTATACGTATAATCTGACTTTTTTTCCCCAATGGTCCCTTCAGACATTGCCTACAATCATCTCCCTTTAAAGATTTGGAAATTAAAACTAGGGGACATTAATTAGCTTGTCTAAGTTTACACAATGGATTTATTTGACTCCAGTGGCCAGGCTCTTAACACCAAAATCTACCGCTTTTAGAATGTTGACCACAGAAAGACAGTCACAATACATTAAGTTAAACAAGCATGGCCTTGAAGATGCCTGGATGATCTGATCCCTGCCCACCTTCTATCTTGTCTCTCCAGTTTCCTGTGTGCTTCAGCCCCCTGGTTCTTTCAGATGCATGAGTGAGCCAAGCTCTCCTTCCACCCAAAGGCCTTGTCAACTGGGATCCCTGCTACCTACAAAGTTCGTCTCCCCATTCTTAGCATGACAACAGATCTCAACCTTAATATCTCACCATAAATGTCATTCACCAAAAAGGATTTCTCTGGTCACTTATTCTGGGATATTCTCTCTTATAACACTCTGCTACCTGCTCCCCCACCAGAACATGAAAGAATTAAGCCGTTTTAGAATAATCGATACAAAATAATATTCTGTATAGGCTGGGCATGGTGGCTCATGCCTGTAATCCCAGTACTTTGGGAAGCCACGGCAAGAGAATCCCTTGAACCCAGGAGTTTGAGACCAGCCTGGGAAACATAAGGAGACCTCATCTCTACAAAAAATTTAAAAATCTACCAGGTTTGGTGTTACACACCTGTGGTCCCAGCTACTCAGGAGGCTGAGGCAGGAGGATCACTTCAGCCCAGCAGTTTCAGGCTACGGTGAGCTATGACTGCACCCCTGAACTCCAGTCTGAGCAACAGAGAAAGACTGCCTGTAATCATCATCATCATCATCATGACCTATATGAAAAAACATACTTGTGTTCACTCAAATACACTCACATATACCTACATCCCCATCCAAAGCATAAAATAAAATACAAAAAGTAAAAGAAAAAAATGTGAAAAGTAAGGAAAAAGAAAAAGAAGTATCTGGAAAGCATTACCCTGAGATTTCTAACGGTGATTGTTTTTTTCTGGTGAGTATAATTTTGGAGACTTTTTTTATCTTTCTCCTTGCCTGCACTTTCTAATCTCTGGTAATTAACATTTATTACTCTCATAGTACGTTTCAGAAGCATAATGGCAATTCTAAAATAAGCAATAACAATATTTTTTGTAAGAAAACATTCTTTTACTTTAAACAGATGCTGTTCTTGTTTAGGTTCTTTCTTTGTTAGGAATCCAAAGTAATTCAGAGATTAACTGCATTACCTTTGCCCTTTATATAATTTGGGTTTTTTGCTGTTGTGGTTGGTTTCGGGTTTGGGGTGTGTGTGTGTGTGTGTGGTAACGGGGAAAGGTTGGAGGTGGAAGGAATGGTTTCAACAATAATAACAGTAAAATACATGCAGTGAAGGAAAAGTGTTCTTCCTTGTAGTCTCATCAAAAAAAAAAAAAAAAAAAAAAAAAACAAGTCTGTGCTAGAGGGTGAAGACACACACAAGCCCACACTCCAGTCAAACAGCAGCAAATGGGACTTGACCTGCTGTACCTTTTTCGGGCTTAAACCAAAAGCAAGTGACACTGTCGAGAGGGCATTTCCATTGCAGCTGCAAAAATCTCTCTCAGTCAATAGCTAATGAAAGATGAGAGCTTCCTGGGACACTGTGATTCCCAGGAAATGGAGGGAAGGGAAGGGCTGGTTCTTGGTGATCTCCTAGGCTTTGCACCATAGCAGGCTTTGCACCATAGCAGGCTTTCACTATGTAGTAGCACTTTACCTGAAAATCCCATTTTAAAAACCCATTATTTGCCCAAAAATAAATGAATTCTCCACTTGACTAACTGGCACATTTTGCAAATATTTGGCCAAATGCCGAAATACCTCTGAGGCTTTGCTAATAAAGACATAGCAGTAAGGTTCACCAACACAAGGCATTCAGCATGAACCAAACTGATGAGAAAGAAATGGCTATCATAACATTGGCAACCAAATAAAAAAGACAAAAAAATCTGCTGGCACAAATTTACATATATTCCAAGGATAAGTTCCACTGAATAACCTGGCTTTACCTACAGGAGAAATCTTATGGAAAAATTCTAAAGTTGTAAGAAAGAGGCCTGGCACAGTGGCTCATACCTGCAATCACAAAGCTTTGGGAGGCTGAGGTAGGAGGATGATTGAGGCTAGGAGTTCAAGATCTGCCTGGGCAACATTGCAAGATTCTTTCTCTATAAAATAAAATAAAATAAAAATTAGCTGGGCATGGTGGCATGCATCTGTAGTCCCAGCTACTCAGGAGACAGACATAGGTGGAAGGGTCACTTGAGCCCAGGAGTTTGAGGATACAGTGAGCTATGATCGCGCCACTGCACTCCAGCCTGCATAAGAGATCAAGACACTATCTCTAGAAAATGAAAAAGTAAAAAAGAAGTTTATCAAAATAATTGTGCTCCTTAGTTCCACCTGAAATATAATGAAGAAGGCTTCCTTGACAAACAGGCAACACTGGAGATTTCTATTTTGGTCTAAGAATTGTTATCACTAAGGTTAAAAAATATGCAAAGCAAAATATTTTGTGGCTTCCCATAGATTACATTTAATGCATGTTGTTTAATTTAGTTTATAAATTAGTGTTGATCCAATTTGCTGAAGTATTTTTACTTTGAACATTATTGAGTACCCAGAACTCTAGTCTTCAAGGGCTCAGTTTGATGTTCCCACCGTCAAAGGGATTTGGGGGTTTGCTACCTTCTTGCAAATATCTTCCTGCCCTGAGTAGTTATTTCTCTTTACTCTTCTCTGCAAGCTAGAGCTGAGAAACATAAAAAGGGTATTATTTCACTTGGTGCCTAGTAGGTGGACAGCAAGAAATAGATTATGTGAAAGGAAAGAGTAGGTGACTCACAGCCACTGATTCTACAGGATTCTAGGGTAAATTTTGACCTTAAAATGCTAATTGAGAAAACCCTCTGGCTGAAACAATTATTCATTTACTCCACTATATCTGAATATGAGTTTAGATGTTTTTAAAATTTCTGAGTAGGGGCTTTTTTAGTGTGCAATAGTGCAAAATCATTCCTTCAATATAACTTTTAGAGCAAGGGGAAAAACAGATACAATTTCAGGCCCACTGAATGACATGAGGACAGACCTTGTAAAATTTCTTATAAGAAATAAGAGGAAGATGATCCTGAACATGGACTACAAAAGCATCACGCATATTTCCTTTAAAGGTCTTATTATCTATTTCCCATTTTGATTACAAGTTGAATGTCTTACATTTAAATATTATTGCTCTGTAAAAACTGAAAGTGCTTTGTACAGAGAAATGCTGTCTTCCTTCCTAAAGACGGAAACATCTGCCTCGGTGTCATGAGGATACAACTGCTTTCTGCCTCCCCTTACTTCTCAAAGAGCCCTTAAGACATCATCAATAGGCCTTTTATGTTGTTGTTACTCTGTAGTGATGCATGTGCCAAGAACCAGTCACAGGTTTGCAGCCAATTTTGGATCAATGTACAATAAGTATTTTTGCTACAACTGAGTACATATCATGTGAGATGGAACCCTTGGATACCCCCACATCATCACTACCATCAATATCACCAACACCCTCACCACAGACTACCATACCCGTTAATACCACCATCCCATCTCCATTACCACCACTCATGTTCTGGGTTGAACAACATCCCCCCAAGAATTCATGGCCACCCAGAACCTGTGAATGTGATCTTATTTGAAAATGGGGCCTTTGCAGATGCAATGAAAATAAGGTCAGACTGGAGTAGAATGGGCCTTAAACCCAAAATGGCCAGTGTGTTTTAAAAAAGAAAGAAATTTGAACATAGAAACATAGATGCACAAATGAGAAGACTATGTGAAGAAGGAGGTGGAGATTGGAGGGATAAATCTACAAGCCAAGGAATGCCAAGGATTGCCAGCAACCACTAGAATCTAAAAGAAGCAAGAAAGAATTATTCCCTAGAGCCTTCAGAGGGAGAGGTACATCCCAACACCTTGATTTCAAACATGTAGCCTCAGGTCCTATGAGAGAATACACTTCTATTGTTTTAAGCCACCTGGTTTGTGCTACTTTATTGTAACAGTCCTAGAAAACTAGTACAACTCCCATCACCTCCACCAACCCCATCACTCTCAACACCATCACCACCACCTCTCTCATCATCATCTTTACTGGTAAAACAGTATGGGAAAGAGAACACAGATAACTCCTTCTCAGGTGAACACTAGGACTTAGTTTTAGAGGCCAGCAGCTGACACCAGATGCATTCATGAAAGTGCTCAAACCATGCTGTCTGACCCCCACTTCTGTGGTTACAAACTTAGTTTCTCTCCTTTTTCATCCCCAAACTTCTATTTCGAGACTGAGGTGTCCACTTTTTCCCATTCCCACATAGAGAGGAACAAAGGTGGTTTAACATGAAACATCAAAGTTCAATCATTTGAACCCCGTAATCATATGGCTGGGGAAACCAATCTCTGGAAACTTGAAATAACTTGTACAAAGCCAGTGAATCAGCTTCTAACAGAATCAGATCAGAACTTGGATTTCCTGACTCATCACCTCTACAAAACTCCTTGGCACAGAAGTGGGTACGGCATGTTTCAATACCTACTATAGAATATTGGGATGCAATATATGAAAGGTATAGACATTCCCCACCCTGTTACCAATCATAGGCTCATTGTATTGGCTCATGAATGTCTTAGTCAACTTTACTAGAAAAATGTGTGTGGACTAGGCCCAGGGATAAAATTGCCTAAATATTCACTATGATATCACTGGTGATATCAAATGATGACATTTAAGAAAGATGTTTTCTAATCATAATTGAAAATGTTTCTACTGCTAAGATGTGTATCAATAATATTAATTCTATATACCTGCATAACATTGAAATAACTTGGAGGTCTTCCAAAACATACCTAAGGTTGCATTTTTATCAAGCAATCGGGAAGAAACTTTGGAATTATGAGAGCGCAGATCAGTCTGTTGAAGATTACATCATGCATCTAAGCATCAACAAATTAAAGAGGGCCTTTGTCTTCTAAAGCATCTAGCAAAGATGAAAAAGTAGCAATAAACACAATTAGGCATATTGATTCCTTTTGTTCTTTGAGAGTCACCTCATTGTACTAGCTTTCAAATCAGAGTGCTGTAAGATACCATCTCTAATATCAAAATGAAACTTTTCTAAGTCCCAACTTCTGAAAATTTTGGAAGAAGGGTATCAAGGAGTCTGTAATTTTGGTGTACAAACTGAGAAGCCTTACTATTTTAAAACATGCACTGTTAAGATTAGTTTCCCAGAGCTAAATATAATTCTGTACAACCCAGCTCCAAATTTATAGTCAAAAGGAGGTGATCTTCGCAGTTATCCAGTTAATATAAATATTCTCAGCTAAAAATATTAAAAATCTCAGTTTCCATAACATCAGCTCCTTTAGGGATAGTTTCAGTAGAGATCTTTTTTCTCTTTTACCAAGTCAGTGTCATAATGTAATTAAGAGAGTGCTCTCATTAAAAACGATTATATGAATAAATGAATACACATATATTTTAAAATGTAATCACTCAATAAGGTGTGTGCTACTCTGAAATTTCCATCATCATCATCATCATCCACTATTTCAGTTTCCATCAGAGAAATTGCCACTATAATGTGGTGATAATTTTTTTCTCTTAAAGCAGTAAAAACAGAGCTTTGAGCTTCTAATTAATCAAATGTATATTTGGAAGGGACTGTGTTTTCATTTAGGCAGTGGATGCAGGTCCCCTATAACTCTTAAAAGAAGCAGATCATGATTTTGAAACCAAGTCTATTACTTGTTTTGTTTAAATTTTTAGTTGGTGGTTTTCTTCTCCTAAATAATTGACATCCTCCTAGAAACAGATCAGGTGTGACACAGGTAACAAATGGAAGCTAGAAAAGTCTTCAAATGGTGCTATTTTTCCTAAGATCACATATATTACTGGAAGTCTAACAGGCATCTCAAATTTAACAAAGGACTGACTTCCCCACTCCAAACCTCTCCTACTCTAGTACTTCTCTCTCCAAAAGTAGCTGGTTTGCACAGGTAAACAAATAAACAAAGAACTCTCCAGTTCTACTTGATTTCTCTCTCTGACTAATCCTCTAGACCCTCACTGCTCTACACTATCTTCAAAATATCTTTGAAATCAGAACTCCTCACACCCGCTCCTTTGCTCCCACTCCAGGCCATGCTAATAGCATCTTTCACCAAGACCACTGTGATAACTTTGCAAACGTTCTCCTTGCTTCCACTCCTGCCTCCATCTCGTCTATTTTCTACACAAGCCAACCACACTCCTGCTCAGCAGTTTCTAATTTTTTCCCATCTCTCACAGAATAAATTCAAAGTTCTTATTGTAACCCCACCCTGGCTACTTCTCAGACCTCACGTGGCAACATATTCTTGCCAGCCCACTTCGCTCCACTCTATGTCACATTGGACGCCATGCTGTTTCTGCACAGGACAAACATACTCCCATGGCATGGTCACTGCCCATGCTCTTCCCCGTCTCACCTACATGCCCTGCAGATAGTTTCTTGGCTTTCTCAGAAATTTCTCAAATGCTACATCCTTAGAAAGGCCTTCTCCAAGCACTCTATTTAAAATAGTATTCACAACAATAGCAATTGAATGAAGGAGGAGCTCTTCATTGAAATAACAATTGTGATTCAGGACAAAATGAGAGCATCTGGGAAACGAACATTTGGCTGCATACTGTATTGAAGAGCAGGGTCTGTTTTTTTTCTTTGAAACTGAAATTTTCGTTTCCAATGAACATGATGATGATGATGATGATGATGATAAGAACAGCAGTAGTAGCCAACACTCCATGAACACATGCCTGGCACTACTCTGGGTGTTCTGTAACACCCAGTTACGTGTTAATTGCAACAGCCATTAAATTCTTACAAAAACTTTGTGAGGTAAGTACATTACAACAAGGTACCCTTTTAATAAAGTCACTAAGACAAAGAATACCTAGAAGAGTCTCCTTGCCCCTAAGACATATTACTCTAATCCCGAAGTCTTTAAAAAGAAACATGACCAAACAACATTATAAACTGTAGGGCTAAAGAAATATTTAAAGTCTATTTACATTTGTACAGTGCTGCTTCCTCTAATAAAGATGGCCCAAGAGATTTGGAAACCTCTTAAGAAGGCAAATTCCAATTATGCAAAAAACACAAACAATACCAGGGTAGAGCAGAATAGAATGCATGCACAGAATGCATTCAATCTAGCCATAGTGTGAGGGCTGATTTTCAAAGGACATGAAGAAAACACAAAAACTGGGCACAGTTAAACTGCATGCTGATTGCCAGTAATGGCCTGTAAAAACAGAGTAGGAAACGGCCTTAACTTCCAGAAGGAACCAAAAATTATGACAAAAGTACAAGACTAATCAGAGGTCCAGGTCTCTCAAGTTATGTTCTATTGAATTGCCCAAGGGTGTTTTTCTGTCTCCTGCTTTGGCTATATAAACGACACTAAAAGATATAAAAGAAAATATTGTTTTTCAACTCCTCTCTGATTCTATGGTCTGTGGGAAGGCCAGAAAAAAATGCCCGGTAATAGAGAACTTCCCAACTCAACCCTGTAACTCAGGTCTGTGGTCCAAAAAATAACATATCCAGGTAGCCAGAGGCTTTGCAGGTTAGAACACGTTCTACAAACCTAGAGGAATGGGAAACCTGGAGAGTGGGAAAAGCTGCCAAAAAACTCTGAAGACATGAAGAAGGTTGTGATTTTCCACAAGGGGAAGATGACAGAATCCATGAACTAAGGAAAAAAACGAAGAGTGGTTTGTAAGTGTATAAAAATTGGAAACAGTGATCACTTAAGGCAAATGTGGACTCATGAACCATGGATCCAGCCAAATGAAAGCCCTTTCCTTTTTTGATACAGTTAGATAGCAGAGCATGATGCTAAATTCATGAATTATATGAAGCCGGGAGGAGGAGGAGACTGCATGAAAGGGTCAGGATGGTCCTGTTCTGGACGCCTGGTATTTAGTACTGGGATTAAGAATTAAGAGATACTTTGGTAAGAGAAGCTCTTATTTTTTTCAGCACTTACTGCTTGCTGGGTACTGTGTTTCAACTCACTGCATCTCTTTTCATTCTCACAGCAACCCTCTGAGGCAGGTACCATGATATCCTGATTTTACAGAAGAGGAAACATGGGCTGAGAGGAGATTACTTGCCAATGATCACAGTTCTTTACAAAGGAGGCGGTTTGGGAGTTTGGGATAAACAACTGTACTCCTAAGGAGAACAACCAGAATGCTGCAGGGAACATGAAACCCTGCCATAGAAACAAAAGATTGCTGATTTATCTGAGAAATGAAAAGGCCCAGTGAAAATACGACTGAAGTCCTCACCTGGTAAAAGTCTGCTGGAACATGGACAGGCTCCTTATTTTGGCCCCAGATGGTAGAATTAAGAACAGGCGTAGAAGGTGGAATTTGACTAATGAGACAGTAATTCAATGATTAGCGCCATCTGGAATCAAAAGGTAAAGTCTAAGGAGATCTTAGCATTGAAGGAGTCCAAGCAGAGACTAAGCAACCCTTTCTGTCTGGGAACAGTCAAGAGATTTATACCAGGGATGATAATTAAACTGGGAGCTCATCAGATTTCCTCCAAACTCAGATTCCATGAGGATGCAAATTTGTGATAATAATTTATTAAGATATACTCTGGGCCAGGCATGGTGGCTCACACCTATAATCCCAGCAGTTTGGGAGGCTGAGGCGGGCAGATGACTTGAGGTCAGGAGTTCAAAACCAACCTAGCCAACATGGTGAAATCCCACCTCTACTAAAAATACAAAAATTAGCCAGGCATGGTGTTGCATGCCTGTAATCCCAGCTACTAGGGAGGCTGAGACAGCAGAATTGCTTGAACCCAGGCAGCAGAGGTTGCAGGGAGCTGAGATCGCATCATTGCACTCCAGCCTGGGTGACAAGAGTGAAACTTCGTCTCCAAAACAAACAAACAAACAAAAAAAAAAAATATATATATATATATATATATACACACTCTGAAGTCTTGAAGGTGGATATATACATGTTTACCATGTTGAGCATGTGACTCACTTTCCTGATTCACATTTCTTAAGCACATTGATAACTGCTGTAAAAATTTAGAGTGAGGGCTCAGTGTTCTGCTGGAATCTCTGAATAATTAGGTTTCCATCTTTAGGTTTTAACATGGAAAACACAAAACAGTTGAACATGTTTGTTTTCTTTAACTCTGCACCATCGCCCTGAAACAACAGCAATTTGTACTGTTGCTTGGGCAAGGCCTTGTGGAGGCAGCTAATGAGGCTGTCAGGCCCTGGTGGCTGAAACTCTCCAGATGGGTTCACTGGAGTGTTCGAAACCATGCAATGCTGACCATATGATATACGAGTTCTCGGCATACTTTTATTTTTCAACCAATATTAAGCACTATTAGCCAAATGGAAATACCAGAGGCAACAATTTGGCTGGATATGATGTCTCTATGCAACATTTATCTCCCTTCTGGAAGTCAGTTGTGTTATGCTTACACCAGCTTATTTAATTTTGTTTTCCTTTATCATGTTAACCCACTGCTTGGACTTTCACAAGTCAGAGTAGAGAAAAACCTCATACATGACTTGTGCCTAATCTTTTATGAGAAACACAGCTGGTCCTATTGCTCTTTCCAACATATCTGGAAATGATTTTGAGATACAATTACATGCTGTGTACCCGCGGGTCAGGTGGTAAAAATGAGCCTGAAGCACCCGGCCTCTGAGTCTCTAAAAAATTTTTTAAAAAATCCATTTCCTCGCATGCCATATTACATGTAGTACAAGCATCTTTTGAGATATTTTAGAGTATAAGTGAAGAGTTCATGGGGGGAAATGGAACAGAGATTTTTAAATCATAACCCTGGTTACAAAACCTAACCATCATATCATAAGAAGGGAGAACTTGGGCCCGAAACTTAATTATCGTTCACTTCAGGTTTCCTTTTTTTTCAGTGAAATGGAGATAATAGTACCTGTCCCATCAAACTGTACTGAGAACTGAGTGAGATGTTGTTTACAACCCATGACAAGTACTTAGGAAATGCTCAATACAGTGTAGTTAGTTGTCAATTTTACTATTATTTTTATTGGTTTCCTTCAGGAAGATGGATCATAAAATTCGCTCCAGTGCCAAAGATTTTAATCCTAGAGAGGCAGAGGTTGTAACCACTTGACTTACAGATGCACCCTGCACCCTGTGGCTACCTGTGTGTAAACCACGTATCCTACCTTCTTATAAGGCACCTCACTCTGCAAGCCAGGTGTCTTAGTGCAGGATGCTATAACAAATATACCATGAACTAGGCGGCTGAAACAACACACATTTATTTCTCATTATTCTATAGGCAGGGAAGTCCAAGATCGAGGCCCTGGCAGGTCTATTTCATGAGGGCCACCTTCCTGGCTTACAGACATCCCCTGCTCCCGTATCCTCAAATGCCCAAGAGCAGAGAAAGGAAAAAGCAAGCCCTCTCCTCTCTCTTCTTCTAAGGACATCAATTTCATCAGGAAGGCTCCACCCTCATGACCTAATTACATCCCAAAGGCCCCTGCCTCCTAATACCAGCATATGGGGTTAGGATTTTAACACAGAAATTTAGGGGATGAGGGAACACATAACAGTCCATACACCAGGGCTTCCTTAGCATCAAGCATATCTGCAACCACTTTTCCCAACTCTTGTCCATTACCTCGAGAAAATCCTCTTTCCCTTTCCTTTATTTAGAAAGGAAATCTTGAGCTCAGGAATTCAGCTGGAGAATCATGCCTGTGATATGGATCTATAAGAAAAGAAACTATCCTCTGCCCTGTGAGGTTAATTATAGAGAGAACAATGAGGAAACTCACAAAATACGCAGAGATCCCCTTGCAAATTTCATGAAAGACCTCTTCTACCCAGTAACTACAATTACACTGTCTGAAATCCGTGAAAGTTACCTTATATAGGCAGGAAGTTACCTGCTTATAAAGTGAACACACTCACACGCACACACATACACACACTAGAGAACTGCTGGAACTGTTGTTAAGTAAACATGTAAGTGGTCCAGAATGTGCCCACAGGTAACCATCCTTTGTGTTCTTTCTATAAAAATCATGTGATTTGGGGTACAGACTAACCTTTCCTCCAAGTCCCACAATCTCTCCTCATAACCTTAGAGTTAACTATATTTAAGTTTCTCAAGGATTCTGTTTAAGATCTTATAATAAATTGAATTTTTACTATCCAATGGTGAAGGTTTTCAGATACATAAGCTATGTATTTTATTTTACTTTTCTTTTTTAGAGATGGAGTCTTGCTCTGTTGCCTAGGCTGGAATGCAGTGATGCAATCGGTATCACTGTAGCCTCAAACTCCTAGGCTCAAGCAATCCTCCCGCCTCAGCCTCCTAAGTAATAGGGACTATAGGAGCATGCCACCACGCTCAGACAAATTTTTTTCATTTTTGTAGAGACGGCATCTCGCTATGTTGCCTAGGCTAGTTTCAAACTCCTGGACTCAAGACATCCTCCTGCCTTTTCCTCCCAAAAGCACTGGAATTATAGGTATGAGTCATTGCACCAGACCCTATGTATTTTAGTAATACAAAACCAAAATTCCCTATAAGAAATCACACATGTTGACCACATAACCCTTGTTCACTTTACTTTCAGTGCTGGAAGCACAGGGAGGCCCCGGCTGCAGTTCTGCTTCTGCCTCAGGTAGTGGAGATGACAGTGCTGGACACAGCCTCTCAGCCCTAGCCTTGACACATCAGCAAAGTCACTAGCATCACATGACCTCTTAAGTGTCATGTGAGACAGTCCACATTATTCCACACTGTACCTTCCCTGCCCCTGTCTTTCTCTCTCTTTGGATTTCTATCTGGAGCTCCCGACTTCACCATGTGGAAAAGGAGAGAGAGTAGGGAATTGTCTTTAAATATCAATAAGCATTTCCTTTTTCATGTAAACATTACTTTTCATCAAAACGTATCTTGTGCTCATTATATCACTGAAATACTTATGAAAAATAAAAACTTTTTGTGATCCTGAGGAAAAAATTTCCAGAAAAACCTCTTTTAAAATGTTTTACTTTCTATTATTACTATTATATTGCTAACTGAAAATATGCCAGTATTTTGGCTATATTTCTGCATAAATAATAACAAATGCCCTGAATATTTTGATGTTTACACAGCACTTTCTCCAATTATCTAAGAAACCTAGCTATCATTTGTAATATTTCCTCTCAGGACAGCAAAATTGGGTAAATCATACCTATAAAACATACAAACAAATTTTAGATTAGCTTAACTCTTGATTTCTATATTATCAAAATGTAAATATCTTAAGCATTTTCCAGGAATTCAGCTAAATGAAATTTTCAGTGACTGTGGCAATCAGTGTCCACCTGAAAACCCCAGCGTCATTAGCAGTAGCCTTGCTGATATGCGAATCTAAATCTCAGGACATGACACTGGATATGGAGTTCTGCAAACTTGTAATTCACAACGTATTTGTTTAAGATTCTCAGACTCTCCAAAATTCATTTGGCTTAATTTCTGGAGTAATTTAAAGTAGTAAATTTGTATGAATACCAAATGAAATTATTTTGCCAAGTTAGCTAGGCACTTATAAGAAGTGTGCGTTAAAAACCGGCCAGGCGCATTGGCTCATGCCTGTAATCCCGCTAGGCACTTATAAGAAGTGTGCGTTAAAAACCGGCCAGGCGCATTGGCTCATGCCTGTAATCCCACACTTTGGGAGGCCAAGGCGGGTGGATCACCTGAGGTCAGGTGTTGGAGACCAGCCTGGACAACATGGTGAAACCCCATCTCTACTAAAAATACAAAAAAATTAGCCAGGCATGGTGGCAGGCGCCTGCAATCCCAGCTACTTGGGAGGCTGAGGCGGAGAATCATTTGGACACGGGAGGCGGAGATTCTAGCCTGGGCGACAAGAGCAAAATTCCATCAAAATAAAAAGAAAAAAAAAAAAAGAAAGAAAAACCTAGGGTGCCATACATGTTTAAAATATGTAAACACACAGCAGATTCTCCTCCCACCAACCTTTCTATTTGTTTTTGGGAACCAGATGTCAACTTCCACAGGTAGTGTCAACTGCACTGCTGCTGACTGTGTATGACAAACATTCAACTATCAGAGGCCCACAGACTTCGCCCGAGTGTTTACTCAACAAGATGCCTAAAGGTGGACAGCCTCCAGTTGCTTTGGCAGCTCCACGGAGTCAACAGGGGCCAGGCCCTTCATCTTCAGGCCTGTAGCTTCATGGTCCCAGGGCAGCTTCAGTAGCTCCAGGCACCAAGGTCCCATTGAAAGAGAGTAAGTACAGGTCAGAACACACACACTCTCCAGGAGCTTTCTCTCTTTTAATTAGGACATGAAATCCTTCCCTGCTGCCACCAGCACATTCCCCCTTACCTCTCCTGGGTGAGGACAATGCCCAACCCCAAGCCAGTCACTGGCAAAGAGAAATGGAATCATGATGGATGTTTCACCCAATCACAGCTCATCCTGCTGGGATGCCGGTTTGCACCAATGATCAGCATTTCAATCAGCATAAATAATGAAACTATCTTCATATCTGTTGACTATTTCACGTAAACTAACAAAATGTTAGGTGAAAGGTAGCACTTCCATGGGATAAAGTTCCTTGGTAGAAGCAGAGGCAATAGTGCAAAAATACTAAAGAAATTGTAACATGGATCAGGGATTGCACAGCATGGTTCCCCACTGGTTATCTCATTTAATTCTTGTAACAGCTCTGAGAGGCAGAAACCATTATTCCAAATTTGGAGAATCGGAGTTTTAAAAATGCATAACTAAACTCATCTAAAATTAAGACCTTATTAATCAATCTCTTTTAAAATACTATTTCAATATGTGTTCTTACTAAAACTGTGGGATATCTGAGCTGCCTGAAAACCTAAGGAAATTTAAAATGAGATAAAATAAAATGTAAATGAAAAATTTAAGAAAATTAAAGTTGACCATAATCCAATCACTCAGCAAGAGCTGCTTTTAACAATTTGGTGTATTTATTACCAATGTTT
Organism: Homo sapiens; assembly: GCF_000001405.40. NCBI lineage: Eukaryota > Metazoa > Chordata > Mammalia > Primates > Hominidae > Homo > Homo sapiens. The sequence continues at coordinate 81,898,897 of NC_000010.11, read as the reverse complement.
GTTTTCTGAAATCTTCCTGTATAACCACAGTTATACATAACTTTAAACCTGTTTTTCCAAGTTCACCTTACATGGTATATGTTTTCTCATGCTCTGATTTTAAAGAAATGATTTACAATGCCTACACAGTAGAAAATGCATGTCAGCAAATCTTTTCAAATATTTCAAGTATTTCTCCCTTGTACAAAAAAAAAAAAACTCTTCAAACACGTATTATTTATTTATTTTGGACAAAGGCCTAAAAGTGGAATTAATGGTCAAAGATAAGAATGCATGCTGAAATATTTTACATCAAGTCATACTGCAGCCCATGTCACCCTGCCTTTAATAACCCTGGGTCCCATACTAAAAATTACTGACAAACTGTCATAGAGAGTAAACATTTAGATTGTCTGCACATAATTTTGCCCAGATAGTAGATTCAGCCAACCCTGGAGATGAGAGGGATCTGAGTCTGACAGTTGCAGGGACAGCCTCACCTCAGGCTGAAGAATTTCCAGCACGTGGCTGTCACTGAGGAGCTATCTGGGAAGTTGTCCTTTACCTTTTCTTCAACCATTGTCGTCTTTAGGGGCCAGAATGTGCTCTTCCCCTGATGTGACAACCATGCTGAATGAATAAAGGCTCTTGCTGGCAGGGGTCTTGTGATTCCCATCTCCACTGCTCAAACACTTGGCTTCCCCCTCACTTTCTTCCTTTTTCTTCTCCAAAGAATGAGTGTGAGGTTGCACTGAGGTACTTCCACTTCCTAGTTCCAGGGGCCACCCTCCTAACAGGATTAGCAGGCCATCCCTTCCTTTCTTCTAATCCAGCTGCCCACAACCCTGGCCACATGTTAGAATAACCTGGGGAACTTTATAAAAACTACTGAGGCCTGCCATTACCCTTCCCTCTAAAAAAGAGACTGATTGGTCTACAGTGGGGCAGTGGGGCCTGGGGCATGGGTATATTATTTTTGTATCTCCCCCATGTGATTAAAAATGCACGCTGGATTAAAAACTAGAGATAGTAACATCCCCACTGCACTACATCTACAAGAATTTCCCTGTCACTTCCCAGTCTATATGGTGTGCATAATCCCATCACTGGTTTTCAGTGCTGATGTGGGTCTCCACATCCACTTCCCTGCACCACCACCCTTTTAAATATCATTTGTTCTTTCAATAGATGTCTATTCCCTCCCTTCCACACAATATCCAATTACCTTCTCAAAAGGTTCACTTGCACACCTAACAAGCATGGAGAATGCCAGATGCTTAAAACCACTCTTTTATCCCTCGCCCCATCCCCCCACCCAATCCAACTCATTGCTCTACCCTCCAGATCCCAGTTAATAATGGTATCATCCCTCCTCTTATTGAGGACGGGAACCTAGGAGGGAGTCTTGATTTATTCATTCCTGTTTTTCCTTCAATCTAAGTCCTCTTTCCCACCTTCCAGGACACATTCCTACTATGTCTCCACTCTCTAGTCTAAGCTGCCAGGATCTCACAGTGGCCTTCTCACTTAGCTTCTTGTCTCCAGGTGTAGCTTTCAAGAGTGCAGTTCCACACAGCATCCAGAGTGGCTTTTTAAAAACATACAGCATATCAACACCTTCCCCTACCTAGGTCCCTGTGGTTTTCCATTACAACAAAATCAAGTCCAAGTTCCTTATGTGCCTGACCTTTTCTACCTCTCCCATTTCACTTCCTACCACTCCTTAGCATGTTTATTATGCTCAGGCACGCTGGCCATTTTTCAGTCCCTCGAGGGCCTTGAACTTCCATTTTTCTCTTTCTGATACCCTTCTGTTTCAGGTATTGCCGTTTCTGGCTTCTTCTAATTTGAACTCATTTCAACTACCATGACCTCAGCTGTGGCCTCCCGAACACCTATATAAATTCAAACTTTTTATCCTAACCCTGTTCAGCATGTCTCAATAGCTGAAATTATCTTACTTGTATACCTGTTCCTATCTAACTTCTCCACGGGAATGTAAGCTCCAGGGGTGTTGGGTTTGAGAAAATCTCCATCATTATTGCAGCTCTGGAGCTGGGTGCCTAAAACAGCATCTGGCAAGTAGTAGGTGCTTAAGAAATAGTTGACGAATGAAGGATCTTGAGACAGGCTGTGTGGAAGAGGAATCAGGCATGCTTGTTCATGTAATTAACTTATCTGAATACCTTCATTCCCCCTTAAGCCATAATAAACATTTTTTATCATACAATCTTTAAAGAAAACCAAAAAAAAAAAAAGCCCTAGATTCTCATCCTCTGGAGATTAAATCTACTAATATACTTTGCTTTTCTAAATATCTATATGGAAAAGAGGAAAATAAGGAGAGATTGAAAAGTCAGTAAGATGAATTTTAGCTTTCTCCAAAAATATAAATCACCTTACACCATCTCAGCATATGAAATCTTACTTAATAGTTTGCAGAATCTATCAAGATACACTTTGGGAGAAATGCTTCAGAAAAGTATTCTTTACTAAGCACTGAGCACCAGTTCTTAAAAACAATCAACCTAAAGAGAAATGGCACGAGATAGGATGGCGAGAAAGTGAGAGAGAGAGTTCTTCACTCTTTAGAGGTACATCTCTTCTCCTGCTTGTGTTCAGTGTGTCAGAAATTGAGATATCAGAGATTGACATACAACTCAGTTTCAAACTGAGCATCCCACGCTTCCGGAGCAATCATATCGAAAGGGCATGCTGGTTAAGTTGGCTTTTCTCAAAGGCTGAGAAATTCATGTCCAGATGCCTGGAAATGGATATCTTTCTAGTAAACAACATTGTGGGATTTAAATTTTCACAGCATCATTCTCCTCTCTAACAGTCCTTACTAGCTTGAATTTGTCCCCCCAAAGACCAGTTCCTACGTACAATATTTAACATTTAAGATAAAATTTAGCTCCCAAATTTAAATCCCGCAATTAGCTCATAGAATAAATAACATTTACCCTCTAGTAATGATTTCAATGTGCCCCCAGTTCCCACATATCTAAACACTCCTCGGCTTCCAATGTGTCAGTTATTAATCTGTGCAGCACCTTGGTTTATAAGATGGTTTGATATCTATGGATTTCAAAGCAGCCTAATCTAAGGAACAGCCATTCCCTCACTTTTTGCGAATGAGGACCCTGGGGCTCCTGGAGGCTCACTCCAGCAAGTTCAGGTATCTTAGAAGAAGCAAAACTCACATTCAAGCTTATCTTCCTGACTTAACATCCACTGCTCTTCCTACAACACACACTCCCACGCATGGACATGCACACGTGGACACACACACATCATAATCTCATCATTAAGAGTATAACTATGATCAAAAGAAAAACAACTATTACAGGCATTCTGATTCTAATTGCTGATTTTCAACCTAATTAAGATGGTAATAGCATCAGATAGTGAGAAACAAAACAAGATAACATCCACATTAAATGAAATCCAAAAGCCTCCTGAATTAAATTGGTAGGGGTTCCCTTTGGGCAGGGGCGGGGCTTAAAACTGCTGAGAGTATTGGGATCAATAATCTGAGTATGCAGATCTATCAGTTTTGGGGCTGTTATTAGAATGTATCTATCTATGATATAACATTTTCAAGGTTTTTTAATGGCAAAAAAGGCAGAGACTAAGGCAGCATCCCTCTATCTTAAAACTGTAATGCTTGAAGGATAGATTTGTCAATGATCAGCAAAGCCTTCATGGGGTCAGATTTTTTAACCCAAATCAAATTAATCAGTTTCTGGTTTGAGTGTTAGCAATATGCTAGGGAAAGGCATGTGTAGCCCGACCAACCCGTGCAGATAGTTGCAGTGCTGAGTCTTCCTGCTGGTCATGGAGAAGACTGTGAGCCCAAGGGAAGTAGATGCCAAAAAACAGGGAGCTACAGGATGCCGCTGTGGCCCGCTCTTACTCAGGTGGCTCTATTTTTATGATGTGACGTTTGAAAAGCCAGTGTCACTGGTGATTTGATGTTCACCCACCTCTCCACAGCCCCTGGCATGCACTGGGTTTCCATGGTACTTATTAGTGGGAACAGCAGTAGACTTGTGGTGGTTGGAGGCAGCGGCTGTCGCAAGGCCCAGGTGCAGAGCAGCATAGGCCACACTTCCTTGGAAACAGAGTCTCTTCTCCAGCTCCTCCCACACAATGGAGCAGAACAGTGGAAACGAGGACAGAACGCTCAGGATGTGGGGTAGCAGCGGGGAGGGCAGTCTCCATGCACTGTCTACACTCAGAGAGAGGCACAATTTAAGACCTCTAGACTGTTTTAAATTATTTTATGTTTGATTAGTGCGTGTGTTTCTGCTCCTATTATGAACTGAATTGTGTCCCCCCATTCATATGTCGAGGCCGTAAACTCTAGTGCCTCAAAAGGTGACTGTATTTGGTGGTGATTAATTTAAAATTAAGCTCTTAGGATGGGTCCATGTGAGGATACAGTGATAAGGTGGCCATCTGCAAGCCAAGGAGAGAGGCCTCAGAAGAAACAAACTCTGCTGCAGACTCTTGATCTTGGACTTCCAGTCTCCAGAAATGTTAGAAAATAAAAATAAATTATTTTCTTTCTTTCTTTCTTTCCTTTTTTGAGACAGAGTCCAGGCTGGAGTGCAGTGGTGTGATCTTGGCTCACTGCAACCTCTGCCTCCTGGGTTCAAGCGATTCTCCTGCCTCAGTCTCATGAGGAGCTGGGACTACAGGCACAAACCACCATGCCCAGCTAATTTTTGTATTTTTAGTGGAGACGGGATTTGGCCATGTTGATCAGGTTGGTCTTAAACTCCTAACCTCAAGTGATCTGCCTGCCTCGGTCTCCCAAACTGCTGGGATTACAGGCCTGAGCCACGACACCCAGCCAGAAAATAAATTTCCATGCATAGTCCATGCAGTCTGTGGCATTTTGTTACAGCAGCCTTAGCTGACTGATAGAGATAGCTTCACACGTTACCTGGGGACTCCATGTGACCCACTCTCTATCTACAACACTGTTCTTGAGTTTCAGGAAAAAAATCTTTTGTTACTAAATTATACTGGGAAGTTTTAGAACTTCTAAGGCCTTGGCTCTGCCTTACCACATCACTGCCTGCGGTGAAGCCCTCAGAGAGGCATCTGACACACAGCCCATGAAGACAGAACAGGCTCACTAGCCTCCACCATGAACTCTGCCTTCCACAGTAGTAGTTAACTAATGATATTTACTAACTAATGATTTCTCATTTCTAATTAGAGAAATGCAAGATAAAAACCAAGAAGATACTCTTTTAAAACTATATGGCTAGCAAAAATTTTGTTAATTTGTTTTGCTGCTAATGAAATGCAAACACCTACGACGATCAGGGGATTTACGGGAGGATCAGCATTTTGACACTAATCAACAAGTATATGAACTGCTCAGTCATCCTGGATGTGAATTTAGAAATTTCACATTTAAAAAAGTAAGCTTTTTTGCATATGTATTAGCAAAAAAAAAGTCCATTCCATACTGCGGATGTTCAGGGCATAATTTTATATAATAATGACGAACTCGAAGCAAAATAAATTCTCAAGAAGAGATACACTCATTATGTTTTAATATGTAAATATACATCATCACAGAACCATTAAATATAGGGTTATAGGTGTTTTGACAGAAAAATATTGTAACATGAAGTGCAAAAACCTAGCTAAAATTGTGTTAGAGTACAACTTCATTTTGCAAATACATATTCCTAAAGCAAAAAAACTGGACTAATATTGAACAGAAAGAGAAGAGTAATTATCTCTGGGTGGTAGAACTACACTTGACTTTTACTTTCCGTTTATTACTTATATTTTCTAATTTCCTATAGTGAAAATCCTCTGTTTAATAATAAGAAAAGCAAGTGGAAAAAAATGATAAACTAGCCACTTTGAGTTTGAATTAAATGTCACTGACTGTCGCAGCTCAGAGCTGTGTTCTTTTAATTTTTAATTTTTGTTGCTACAGAGTAGGTGCATATATTTATGGATTACATGAGATAATTTGATACAGTCATGGAATGAGTCATAATCACAGCAGGGTAAATGGAGTATCCATCACCTCAAGCATTTATCCTTTGTGTTACCAACAACCCAATTATATTCTTTTAGTTATTTTTAAATGTACGATTAACTTATTTTTGACTACAGTCACCCTGTTATGCTAGTAAATACTAGCTCTTACTCGTTCTTTCTATTTTTGTGTACCCATCAACCATCCCTACCTCTCCTGTAACCCCTCACTACCCTTCTCAGTCTCTGGCAACCATTCATCTACTCTCTATCTCCACGTACAGCTATGTTCTAATGTGAAAGATGGAGCCACATTCTGATATCAAAATCCCCTTGCCAACCAACGTAACAGGAAATATTGCCTTTCGTTGAGGTATATTTACAATAGGGCCCTAGGAATACCATTTTTTAGCCCTCTGTTCTTCTTGTAACACTCTTTGTAAAATTCAGCAAGTAAGAGTTCCATTTACTTAAGGGGGTGAGATATCATATCTAGAATTGGATGAATTTATTTATACTTTCAAATAAAATATTTTGTGTGTGCCCGCAATTCCTCCAGGGCTCCTCATACCCTTATTTTTGGAATATGTATATATATATTTTTGGAATATGTATATATATATACCCCTACATATATGTATATATTTACATAAAGTGTGTGTATAATGCACAGACATACACACACAAAGAGACACACACACTTGGCAATAGCACACCTATAGCTGGCTACCAAGCTCTACATCTCCCAGAAGAAGGGGATGGAATTCTTTTTTAAAGTTGTAAACAAGCAAAGTTCATCTGACTTTAGGACTTAACCAAGTCCCACGTATGTATCACATTGAAACATGGATATTATTAAATGCCAAACTGACAAATGTCCAACATAAAATACACTAACCAAACAAAAACAAAATCTTCATCTGTGTGTGTTTATATGTGTGTGGACAGAGCGAGACAGAGGAAGGGAGGTAGGGAGAGAGCGAGCCAGAGAAACCATAATTCAAAAAATTCCACTAAGATTCTAATCTCAAATTTAAAACCCTGGCCTCCTGGAATCTTTGCCACATCTTGTCCAACAGCCTCATTTACAGAAGAGCCTGAAATTCTAGAGATCAAGTAGTTTACCCTGGGGTCTCAAACAATTGAGGAGCAGAGCTGAGCCTGCATTCCCAAACTAGGCAGGGGCATCCCACTGTGTCTTAATTACTTTTCCCCCTTTCAAAAACCACTATCCCAATTATCTTATTTCCAACTTTCCACAGAAGCAAAGAAGAAAAGAAACGTCACAAATACCAAGATTGCGCAAAGGAATGATAAACTTCCCTAAGACAAGACCCTCCAGCCTCTCCACAGTCTCCATGGAAATCACCTCCCTCATCTTCCTTGTGTTCATCAGGGTCTTCTGTTCAGTTTGCAACATGGCAGAGCATCTAAGTGGAAGTGGTAGACTAGGCATATGGAGATGAGGTAACAAGCCTGGATAATCTACAAACTCCTGAGTCCATGCTTAAATACCTTAAAGTGCGCCATATTGCCAACAGCACATTGCTGTCCATGCCAAACCTTACAGAGAGTACATGGTCAGGAATAGAGCCATATAGTCCAATCATCAAACAGGCCTTTGGGAATAACCTTCCTTCTTTCAATCTCTTTCTCCCACGGCACATGACAACAAACCTTTTTCATCAAAAGCAAAAATATTCTCAAATGTTCAAAGAGCTCAAATTTCCTGGCATGAAAGCATCTCTATTTTGGAAAGGTCAAGAGGTTCATCCAATTGCACGTTACTGATAATTGAAGATTAAAGTGGACTTCCCAACTCAGCAGTGAAAAGAAATTAATGGATCAGCAAGAGTACTCTTCCCAAAATGCAGCATGTGTGATTTATTTTTATGCAATTCATTTCATACCTTGTAGCTGATATCTGGAGGAAAGGAGGCAGTTCTACTAGGGGGAACAGATGATTTCATTTGGCAATGTAATAACATCTGGGGAAATGTGAGAAAATTCAGTGGCAAACTTCAGCAAAGTGTCTGAGTTTAAAAGTATCACTGGCCAAAGATCACTCTGCTCAATGGCTTGCTTGCATAGACACTCTCCTGTCATTATAAAGAGTTCACTGACCGGCAATTTAATTCAATTTTCAAAATGGAAGTGCAATACATAAAGACACTCTGTAGCTAGCAATTAAAGTCTTCAAACCCTAACACTTAGATATGCAGTTATTTTACAGCAATCAGGATGAGAACACACATATTCACTGTGGACAGTATTTTCCAATGGTAGGAATACACTGTGGAATACCAGGGAGCTGAGAGTTGTAGACTGAATATGTTCACTATGTATTTATTTTTGTATACGTGGATATGAGCAAGAGAGTGCAAACATCATGGCAAAGGTTAATTTTGAAAAGATGTCAGCTTTCTATAGTTTCCTACAGATTAACATTACTCTGCTTGCTTTTTAATATTTCTTTTTATATCAGTGCTCAAATAAAATACTTAAATTGTTGTTTCCTAGCATCACAAAATTCTTACCACTGGTAACAGATTTTTTTTAAAAATTAATTTAGGGTTTCAAATGTTAAATGGATTCGGCAAGTTTCTCCCTTCCCCACTCCAAACAAACCACTATTGCTTCTAGCCAATCCAAGTAGCCGAAAGGCTTAAACCCTTCCTTGCCATTCTAGAAAGTAATGTTTCAGGTGCCAGTCCCTGCAGAGTTCAGATGCAGAAAGCCTGTCAGAAGGCACCAGGCAGAAGGACTGTGGCTCACAAGCACGTGGTCTACTTGACCTTTTCTCTTTAGGGTTAACATTTTTGTGTTATCTAGTCATTTAGAAGTAATAGAGCTCCTTAGACTTTTACAAGACTCAGCCATTTGCAGTGTATTGGAGGAAACAGCATTTCATTATTTATCATAAATTACTCAGAGCCTCTCACAATGCAAGATGAGCATCAGTGTGGTACCACAAAAGGTCATTTAGAAGCTTACAAAACTCAGTGATGAAGGAGAAACACAGATTTGGATTTGATGCTCATTTTGTTAAAACCCTGATCTACAGCTTCGCCTTCCTTTCAAAAACCTCTTCTGATCAAATACAAAAAGACCTGAACAAATAACTTTAAAAAATATATCTTTATCTAAGTCAATAAAATAGATAAACTAAAAATATTCCAAGCAAATAACACTTGTATATGTCAGCTGATGTATTATAAATGTTGACATCAGTGAAAATTACCTGATCAGTGAAAAATAGAAGAGAGATGCCATTGGCTATTAATACTAATTTAACATTTGCTCTTACACAGCGCTATAGCCCCTCTGTCTGGTAACAAGGAGCAACCAAGTAAGCCTGAGCAGGCGAGAGTGATGAACTGGATTCTTATCTGAAGGTTCTTCTTTAGGGTGAAAAACGTGGGTGACTCCACTAATTTTAGCTGCCGATATGTAAATGAACGGATGCAGTTCTCCAGTCCATGACAGGCACTCTCTGGCAGGCCGTGCAAGAGCCTCATCTTATACAGACTCCCAGCATATTCCTCACCATGTGATGAGTACAGAAAGGAATCAACAGCAGCATTCCTTTTGAATCTGATGCGATGTCAGCATTCAATTCCAAAAGGTGCTGAGTGGCTTCTGCAAAGAAGACCTCAGATGGAACCAGAAGGGTGATGTGGCAATCAATTCATAAAGGAGTTTTTGCCTCTGAAAAACCTAAAGACAGTAAGAGGTTAATTTAGGTGAGGCAGTGAAATCAAGAGTTCCTTCTTGTTATTCTTCTTGTATCTCTACTTGCAAATTTTTAGGTATTTGAAAGCTGTTATTTTGGGTTAAATCTAGGGCTTTGTTGATGCGACTATGGATAAACTAAACATCCTTAAAACATGCCAATTCTATTGCTTCTTGCAGCGCTTTGAAGAGGCATTGGAATGAAGTCAATACTTAAATATATCCAGCACAAATCAGAGACAATATCTTTAAATGATTTGGAACAAGTTAGCCTTAGAGAATCTTTAAAATTCGCTGCTCATTCCTCTCTCCAAGTCATCCTGGAAACCTCGCACCTTCTGAAAATACCACAGATATTGTATCACTTCCTTGCAACCCATTCTGACTGTGGCTTAACATAGAATCAAGCTGTGTCCTCCAAAACCCTCCCTCCTTAATCAGGCGCTGCTCCAAGGAAAAGGTGAGGCCGTCTGTCTACCAGGTCAGAACCCTCACTGGCTCCCATATAGGTGGGTACATGCAAACTTCTACCTTTATTAATGACCTTTCCCTCCCTGGGCCTCCCTTCTCTATTACTCTGCCTAAGGAAATTCTCCCTTGAAACTACCTTTCTCCCTCTAAGCACTACTTTCTGAAATGGCCTCATATGCTTTTCATTTGGAATCACACATTTCAGCACTTAATGATTCTTTGGTGCATATCTTCTGATCTTCTCAACAAAAACCACAGATGCAGATGATGAATTATCTTTCTTGTGTATATCACACTTTAATGTTTGCAGAACTGTAATAATGCCATTCTCAGGATACAAGTGGGGTTTTACATGTGTTAAGATATGTGAAAAGTGTCGCAATGTGTTATATCAGGAACACTCCTGATATGAGTGAAATAGGGTTTTATTGAATATAAATACAAGGTGTCCACTCAGAAAGGCTTACGTCAAAAGGGAATGTGGGTGTTTGCATGAAGTCTCACTAAGAGGGGATCCTGAGAACAAAGGAAAATGCTGAAGCCAGGAAGACCCTCTTTGCATCTGCTGGACTGTGAGACACCAACAACAAACTTTCAGAGCTACCATCCAGTCTCTGTACATGGAAAAACCTATAAACTCAGGCCACCACCCTGGTTGCATGAAGTGGTAAAGGCCAAAGGAATGTTCCTGAAGTTTTCTCTTATTTTTTCAAGTTAGTATTGATGTATACAAAAAGTGCACAAATCAAAAGTATAGAAGTTACTAAATTTTGATGAAGTGAACTCACTCATGTAACCAGCACCCATATCAAGCAGCACAATATTATCAATACAGGAAAACCTACACCTGGGTCCCCTTCCATTCACTACCTGCCCCTCCTCCCCAAAGATAATCACCATCTTGACTTCTAATTGTTACACAGTATATAAATAGAATCATATATTTGTTCTGGCTCTTTTGGACCAACATTGCATTTGTGAACTATTTGAAGGACTTTGAGCACAACTCATCACCAAACTTATGGGTCATGTGCCCTACAAATCACCACTCTCCTATGGACTCTGGAGTCTGTCTATGTTCCAGCCACTGAAAATTAATATAAGAATAAATATCTTATGATTCTGGGAGAGGCTTATAGCATCCAGTAAACCTTTGAACTGGTTATCCCACCCATTCATGTTTGACCAAACATCTCCTTTCTAGTACTCAGCACTGTCAATTAGCCTTTGTGTTCTCTTTTCATTTGATCCTTGGAATAGATCAGATAGTTGATTAATATGTGTATATAACTTATTGATTTCTGTTGGCTATATCCTTGTATAGCAATACTACTAAGACTGTCTAACATCTGCAGACTGGAAGAGCCATTAAGTATCTCATTAAACTCCCATCTTCTATACCCTTATAAAGTCAAGGCTAATCATCAAAGGCCCAGAGTAAGAAACTCTGCCTTCAATAAGGCATTATTTCCCATGAGCAAATGGAAATGCATTTGCACTTCTACACATCTGCATTTCACAGCAGCAACCCAACTCCATCAACATTTTAATGCTGACACCACCAATTAAGAAACAAACTCTTTAGACATAAAGAAAAAACAATCTTCACAGAACCAAGACCAATAATTGAACTGATTCATGGAGTATATTCTTTACATTTTTCAAAAGTATAACAACTTCTAATTAGAAAAAAAGATAATTCATGAACAATAACTAAAACTTAGATAATACAAAAAAGTACAATAAATTAAACAGCATCCCTATTCCAAAATCCAGAAAGAACTACCATGAACAATTTGGTATACTTCCTTTGAATACAGTTACTATATATTAAATCTAGTGACCAGTAAAGCTTAATATCATGGATATCTTATATAATTTTCTACCCAAAGTTTTAGATAAAAATTATATACCAAACATTTCCCGAAAGCTTTAAAATTAGTACAACAAAATTTAATAGCTTTGTAATATCTATCACATGGGTAAACAAAATTTATTTTACTTATTATTTTAACTTAAAACATACAAATGCACATTCACTTGCCAAATATTTGGTTATAGAGCTCAAGGCTTTTCTCTGAGTAAACATCTGTTGTCCTTCTTATGAAAAACCATACCCATAATGTATAATGTGATTTTTCCAGTTTAGTTTATTGTGGAATAAAATCTTAACATGTGAAACAATACAAGTGCAAATTTCTTATGGATATATAAATATATTCTCGTTAAACTTCTCACAACTTTGTCAAGTAGAAGAAGCACTTTTTTTAAAGTGACTTATGTTTATGGATTATATCCAATGTAATGAACTTCGTTTTAATAGAAACCACAATTCACAGATTTATAGAATACTTAAATGCATTACCCAATTACAGTAACAAAAACAATCAGCATAAACAGGTTTGGGAGCTAATATAACTAATACCTGTTAACCAAGGCAGCTTTCATTTGGTTAAGACAGAAGTGCTACCAACTGTACCTGCTCGGCATGGAGTGGGCATTTGTCAGAAGTTTTTGTTTTTGTTTTTTAATTTTATTTAAGTTCTGGGATACATGTGCAGGACGTACAGATTTGTTACATAGGTAAACGTGTGCCATGGTGGTTTGCTGCACCTATCAACCCATCACCTATGTATTAAGCCCCGCGTGCATTAGCTATTTATCCTGATGCTCTACCTCCCCCACACCCGAAATGTGTTAGTTTTTTAATCCAGAAACAGAGAGTATCATACTGAAAAGTCAATGAAATAGAATTCAGTCAAGCTATCATTTAATATAAACATTTCTACAGCCCATTTTTTAAAAAATTCTGGTGTCTCTAGATTTTTCCACCATGCTGAAAAAAGCTTTGGTCTAACAATAAATTTGGGCAAACAACCCCAGTGGCCCCCCTCATAGACTAACAATGAGCACAACTGTCATTGTTAGTTTATGGGATTCATTTACAGTCTTACAGGATGTTGACAATACAATCTTTCTGACACTACAGTATTCCTATCCTTCAGCATGGCTATTCAAATGAGTGTCACGTGATCTTAGAACTTGATCTATTTCCATTTTATTTTTATAAGTTTGTAAAAGTAACAATCTCAACTATCTTTTACTTTAACCAAAAGAGAATTTTTTTCTTCTAGCTAAAAGAACACTTGGCAAACAAAAATGTCAAGCAAGTAAGCAATGATTGGGTCTAGTTTGTAGTACCCCCGGCAGAATATCAAGGTCTCACCAATGTTCCCCTTCTTAGAACTGGTAGATAATCAGTGATGGGTACTTCGCAGTGTGGCTCCAAGATGGAATTCAGATGTTCTGCAGCAGGCATTGCATGCAGCTCCAACTCCCATCATTGATTTGGTAGAGTCAGTACTTTAGTGTCTACAGAACTAAAAGGCTATCATTCCAAATGTTCCCTGACACTTTTCCATTGATCAGTCTCAGCATACACTGCAGTCACTATTGTAACCAAAAGTAAGCTTGGAATGGGCAGAGAAGGCAATTTTGACTGGATTTTAGGAAGCAGAGGAATAAAGTCTGTAACTGTTTTCTGTCATTGTTACATTGAATCACCTACAAGCAGCCATAAGAGAAAATAGAGAGTTAAAAAGATCAAGGAACAGAAGTTTAGAGGTAGGGAACTGTTGCTCAATGGGTACAAAGATTTAGTTATGCAAGAGGAATAAGTTCTAGAGATCCGTTGTACAACATAGTACTTAGTTAACAATATAATACTGCATACTTAAAAAAGAAGATAGATTTCATGTTAAATGTTCTACCTAAACAAAATTAAAACCACAAGAGAACACAAGGAAATTTTTGGAGGTGATGGATATGTTTAGTACCCTGACTGTGGTGACAGCATTAATAGGTATATGCATGTCCAAACTCATCGATATGTACACATTAAATATGTACAATTTTTTGTACAGTCATCCTTTGGTATTCCAGGGGGGAATAGTTCCAGGATTCCTCTCCCCCAGGATATCAAAATCCTAGGATGCCCATGTCTTTTACATAAAATGGCCTGGTATTTGCATATAACCTAAGGATAGCCTCCCATATAGTTTCAGTCATCACTAGAGAACTTACAAGCAGTGTAAATGCTATGTAAATAGTTGTTATACTATACTTGTTTCTTATTTGTATTTTTAATTGTTGTGTTGTTGTTTTTATTTTTAAATATATTTTTGATCCCTGGTTGCTTAAATCCACAGATGCAGAACCCAAGGATGTGTATGGAGAGCACATTGCATATCAATTACATATCAACAAAACTTAAAAAATAAACAAGAAGACAACATTCAGAACAACATATTCTTTATCTTTTACCGAAACATCTGAATTTCTCCTTAGACAGAAAACCCAGGCAATTTCTCTAGTTAGATTCCTCCATATCAGAGCAAAGAACAGGTACAGTGCAGGTGAGCTATTTATGGAGTTTACAGTGGCAAATGCCACTATCTGTGTGTGAAGTGCTTGACAGAAGCAATGTACAAATGGATATAGTGACACTATAACAGTGAATTAGGTAAGTAAGACTGAGGTGGGGAGAGATTACCTGTAAAACACTCCTCCAGTCTTCTTGATTATCCAAACAATTTCTGCAAGTCCTAGGCAAATTATATATCCTAAGCCCAGCTTGATTAACTCTATCAGTGAGATAATCAAACCTAGGCTGCAGGCCTAGATATGATTGTTTTTCAATCCTTATTTCAAAAATAAATAACACGAAGAATGTACAGTGCTACATGCCCAGGCACACGGTAACCCTCCACATATGGCAGCTGTCGTTTTTATTATTACTTAAATTCTTAAGCCCCTTCCAAGACTGATTATCTGTGACTAATCCTTCTACATTACTAAAAGTAAAATTCAAGCTACAAAAATGAAGAAAATCTGATGATGATGAGGGTGTGGCTTTCTCTTTTAGTGGATTTCTAGCTCCCTGGCAATTCACAGGAAATCATGCCAGAGGTTGCATGTAGTCATAGGAAGGTATCTGAGGAGGAAGGCTGATATATTTAAGAATTCTTATCAAACGTTTAGCATAAAAATTCTATTCCCATAACCCTGGCTGTAACATACTAATGCTAAAGTAGTTGCATGGATTCAGCTGACCTTTTCTTTAAAAAAATGTTCGTATGGCCTATATTGCATCCATGATACACACTATCACTTCCAGGAAAAGGCCTCAAAGACAAAATCTTAGCACTGGAAGCTGCTAAACTTCCATTATTAAACTTAATTCTGAATTCAGTTTGTAGGTTTGCTTCTGACTGATCCCTTTTTAGGCCCAGGAATGGCAATCTATGATTTATGTACAATCACCAACCTGTCTTGAGAAATAAAAGCTTATAACAACAAAAAGTAATACTTTAAGATATAATTCAGGATGAGATTTCCAACAAACACAGATTTGAAGAAATATATTTCCAAAATGCTAATATTAAAGTTCCCCAAAGTACAAATCCAAACAGTATCTTTAAAAGAGCTCCTTGATGGATACAATCAACCTATTAATTCTTGAGAATCTAATTCACAGTAACTGCTAAGTGGCCAAGGGAATGCAGTGCAGACATGCCTATTTTCACACAAATTCTCTCCAAAATCTAAAGACCCAATGACAATTAGTGTAGGGATGGCACAAAAGGGCACCTAGGACATATTTTGCTTTATCAAGAATGTTTAGATTTCAGATTTCCAGATCATTCAGGAATCTCACTCATTTTCTCCCAAATTTCAGCTCCTCTCTTTGATAAACATATGCTGGAAATAGGCTTTAAAAAACACCTTCCAAGCAAAGAATGAGAAATGATGACCTCCAGTTTGTGGTTCAACTTCCAAGGTGATTTGAGGTAGGACTCCACACTATATTTTATTGTGTGTGCCAGGATATCAGAGAGGAATATAAGAAAAACCCAAGGGCATATAAGAACAATAATCTTTCATTGTGATGAAAGATCCCTCAAGCTAGGTAACAAACCAGCTCCAATATTTCAACCGAATTCAATAGTCTGATGTGCTCTTGGATGAAAATAACCAGTCTATCTACTTCCCATTTCACTTGACATAAAAACAGTGATTGTTTTTCAGCTTATAAACTCTTTCGGGATTGGCATAGAAGTCAGGTTATTGTCATCAACCTCATTATACCAGGGGAGGAAGTTAAACTTCAGAGAGATTGTATCAGTTCCTAAAGGTTGCACAGCTATTATAGAATTCACGGCTAGAGGTTTTATATAGAAATATACAAACAAATATTGTTTATAAATATATATATGTATCATACACAGACACACACACACACATATATTTGTTACCCTTCCATGAGAGTCCCTAAAAAATATGGTTATGACTGACTCTCATTTCTAATACTGTTACCTCCTAAAGGAATCACTTCCTTAATCTAACTCCTCTTAGCCAACTGGCTGCCACCACACTGCCTGGCAGGAACACACCAAAGAGGCCCACTGCACAGTGAAAGGGACACAGCCACCAGGCCAAGCTCAAGGAAACCTACACTCTGCTGCAACTGCCAGCTGAGTTGTGCACTTTACAGTACTCAGTTGGGATAATAGATTTGTTTACGTCAGTTGTTCTTATGCTAATTATGTAATTTACTTAAATATTATGTAAACCAGTGATATATGATTATGGAAATGAAAGATAATTGTAGTTTCTATTAAAATGTAGTTGAATGCTTTGAAGAAACTCCAAAAGGTAAGTTGTTTTTTAAAGCATAAAAAAAGAAACTGAATCATATAGACAAGAAAACTGCAAGAGATTCCCAGGGCAAGGGTTTATTATTGTATTTATAAAGAATCTGCATACGGATTCCTTCGCTAGTGTCTTTTAAAAGAAAAAAAAAGCTGATAGTTACAGGTGTGGCTAATTAAAAAAAAAAGAAAAGCAAAGATGCTAAGCTTAAACCAGTAGACACATACTTAGAAAAAGCCTTCGCCCTAACATCAAGACATGGGAGGCTGAATGTTGTAGTGATTAAAAGTTTTATTTTAATTGTCTGCTTTATGAACCATTACTTTTACAAACTTTCGGAGTCAACCAATTACTTAACAGCATTGCAATGCCCCCAGATAGATACTTAGTAAACATTTGAAACATGTGACATATATTATGAAAATATAATTATATGAATGTATATGATAGCTTATGTTCAATTGCTCAACTGTGTTGTGGAATCAGATAAAAATGCTACCAAAATTAATATGATTTGTATACCAATCTATGGGGGAAAAGAAATGACCATTAGCTTCCATCAGGTTTTAAGAATCCTTAATTATTGTTTTAAATCACCAAGACAGTTTAATAACTCAGTTCCCTAAAGGAGTATTTTTTTCCTTAACTTTCTACATCAACTTAAGCACTCTAACTTACCCAAAAGATTAACTTATAAAACAACTTGAAGCAAGACGTTAAGCATATCTAAGAAATTTCATTTAATGAGTATTGACTCCTTGTACTCTAGGCTAAGGAAAAAAGGGCAAAAAAACAAAAAAAAAAAACACAAAAAAAACACAAAAGCCTGAAAGGAGCCTTCAGTCAGAGCCATGATTCAACTATAAAATACTGGCAGGTGGGAGTACAGGAAGTCTTAGGGGAAGAGTGAAATGGAAAACCAAACTAAACATGTGTCTAATGATTTTATTTATAATTGCATGAAGAGGAAACATTTATGTAGGTAAGTTTTGATTGTGATATTGCAAAGTTTCAAATAGAGTCCATTGCTCACTTCATTATGTATATGGTTCTGGAGGGAACACTTTCTTGGGTGGATAAGTAAAATTTCTAGGATCTCAAAATGTATTTGTCAACGCAGTACCAGCTCTGTCCTTACCCAACACACGAGTCTAAAGATAAAAACAGCTAGAAAGAAAGAAAAATGAATTTCAGTTCTATTCAGAAGCAATTCAAATGCATTTTACAGACTTAGATTTATGACTATTCCCTTGCTCTTATATACTTCAGGGCCAACTTTCATGTTCCATTTTTGACATCCCAGATAGAATATTGAGATATGTTTGGCATTGGAGATGAGAGGTTATGAGGAAAGAATTTCTACAAAAGCAAGTTGAAAATAAGCTTTCTTCTCATTGTGTACAAAGGGGAGGAAGGGCTGAGAAAGTAGCTCCAGAGAGAGGAGAGATGGTATTCCTCTACATCCTGGATCTCCCAGGAAGGCACTGATTTCAAACTGCACCAACACTCCTGTTGTTGCCCAACCTGAATTTAGAAAAGCTTCAGTAACAGCGAGAAATTGCCAGAAACCAGCTGGGTTTTTTTTTGTTTTTTTTGGTCAGGTTTTGAAAATAGCACAAATATAACTGTAGCTGGATTCACAAATTAATCCTGCAGAAGGGACTCTCAATTAACAACACCTCCTATCCCTCACTTCAGTCTGAAGAACTGGGGAGGAATGCTTAAACCGCATTGTCTTAATGCACGGAGACCAACGAGTCCAAACTAAAAAGGGCCCTAAAAATATCCTTGCCAACACACCCACCCCTGCCCTCTTTTTTTAATTAGGACCATGAAGTGCAACATAAGTGTGTAACAGTAAAATTGTACAGCATAATTGATTAAAGCAGAAAAGTCTCATAATCCTGAATTAAGGCCAAAGGAAATCAAAACATACTCAGGTTGCAGCCTGTGCTCATAAAAAAAAGCTCTCAATTGGATTTCATAAGAAATATTGATCCTGAGCTCTGAATCCTCTCACTTTGGCTACCATGCATGATTGGGGTCAGTACCTTCTACGTTGGATGCCTTTAAAGGCCTCGACTCATGTAGAGAGAATACAATGTACAGAAGTAACTTTATTTAAACAAATTATATCTGAGGCTGCTTATAAAGCAAACAAGTGTACCCTTATTTAAGGAATGAAGATGTTGAAAAGAATAAATAAGAAAATACTTGATTTTATCAATGCCTCTCTTAAAAATTACAGTAGGTATGACTAGGTAAAGTTTTATAGAAATAGACATGATTAAATTAAAATTGCCTCCATACCTTGCTTAAACATCAAATGTACATTCTACATTTATTTCTTCTTAAATACACTATTAGATATTTGTGATGTTCATTATAATTAACCATATACCTTCCAAATCTAACCCAAAGAAACACCTATAAAAAGAGGCTCTTTGTCTTTAGTATTTGAATTTAGCCAATGACTCCGGGCTACCACCTGTTAAACAGTATTTTCAGCTTAGTAAAAGAATTCTATGTCTCTAAAACAATCCACATTTGCATTGGCAGCATTGTACAACTATATTTCAAATCTGAAAACGAAATTGAAGGCGCTGTAAAAGGGAAAGGCTGATTGTACATTGGTCAAAATCACTGTTTTCTACTGTCTGTAGTGACCTCCTCCCTTTGGCTTGAAAAACTTGTAAATTAACCTCTACTTTCAAATACAAAATGCTTCAAAGATGTTTCTGGTGAAATAATCTCCCCTGGCGATATGTTTAAGACATTCGTTTTTAGAGTCTGAAGTGCAAGCAAGTACTAGGCAAGTGGAAACCCAAGAATCCCAGGAACGCTGAAGAAAGTTTTGGTCCAGCTCACGGCCTAAACGGTGGAGGACGGGAAGAGAAGAATCAACTTGCAAACCCTCCTTTCTCCTCCTGCCTTTAAAGTTCAATCCTTCTTTGTCTTTATTCCTACAGAAAATTAGAAACAGTTCTCTAACTGGGCCTTTCCCATAGCAAAAACAGCTTTTGCTTGAAAAAATCCTATTATCCATTAGCAAGCATGTTCATTGTCAGTGAACCAGCCTCTTCCACTCCAAAGAGACAGGATCCTTACAGACAGGATCCTTCTGATTGATCTAAGATGAACACAAAGACATTCATTCCATAAGCCTTCAGGTATCCAATGCAAGAGCAAAGATCCTGGCCATTAAAGAATTTGTGGGTTAGTCAAAAAACGAAAGCATCATCCTTAACCTTTTTTCAAGTACTACAACAGAATCCATTACTTTCATTTAAAAAAAAGAAAGGACGGAAAGACCCACTAAAGTATGGAGGTAGGAGCTGGGGAAAAGAAAATTTCTCTCCTGGGAACTTTACGGGCATAATCAAGACAAGTAAAAAAAATATGAACACCAGTGATTCAGGCTTTTTTCATCCTACAGTAGCACTGCTGATAATCTCTCAAATGAAATCTTAATTTCCTTTTGTTAATCATCCTGCAATCTTGGATGAAAAAAATAACTAAACTATCCTCTTTCTTCAAGTCACCATACAACTTGCCTATTTAAACACGTTTTATGAAAACTACATAATCCACTTTTCCTTAAAATTTCCCTTGTTTATAGATGCAAACCAGGTCAATTTCAGCTGGATTTTGCATACTTGTATTACATACCTTAATTCAACTTCTTGTAAAGGTTTAAAAAAGAGAAAGAGCTGAAACTAAGATACAAATACAACAAATACTGCTTATATGTCTATGTGAACATTGACACCATTTACAGATTTTTCCCCTCTTTTCCTTGGGGCTGAGGGCCCTGTCAATAATCATTACTTATTAAACAGGCTGCCATTCCCGTCCACGGAATGTAGGAAGAGAGCATAGAGGGGTAGAAATAATTACCTTGGGCTTTTCTTTAAAGACCTCCGGAATGGTACACAAGGAAATCAATTGAGAAAGAACATGAAATACCCCTACCGTGTGTAGTCCCCCTCCTCTCCCAACGCATACAAGGGTTGGAGGTATACCACACTCCATTATTCTATCAACTGCATCAAAAGAGCAGATCAAAAATCTGGGGTCTTCAGGGTAGACTCATTTTCAATCCATTGAATATGTTCACACATACACTCATGAATCCTTTATCCTTCTACAAAACACAAGCTAGATTTGTTGAGTGGAGGCTCTAAACACCTCCTGGGAAAATGTGCTCTCAAAAATGACTGCTTCAGCCAAAGGAGAGAGAAGCAGCAAGTTACTGGCTCTACTGCCATTCTGGTTTGTGGCAGATTCCTTCCTTCCCTCCTTCCTGTCTCCCAATTTATCTTCTAGACGGTTTTTTCCAAAGCAAAGTAGGTTTGCTTTTTTTTCCCCCTTTCCCTCTCCTGGACCTTACTTACAAATACACTACATTCTTTAAAAAGAAAAAAGTTTCAAGGGTTAAGTAACACCCAGGGTAAGATCATAGGGCAGGGAAATGAAAAATTAGCAGATGACTGAAAGCAAACCCAGTATTCCCATCATCACTGAAGAGTTAATGATGAACACTCTTCCTTTATCTCAGATGCTATGGCTCAAAACACAAATACAATATAAAGACAGCATAACCAGACAGTTTTTTGCAAAATAGCCTTGCACAGAACTTGAACTAGCAGCCTGGGGTTTGTCCTAAATAACCTTCACAGGTTGCACAAACTGTTCCCATATCCTGATCAGATCAGCTTAAAAGACACCTGAGATTTCCTTTGAATAAGAACAAGGTGGGGGTTGGGGTGGGAGGTCAATTAGTCACCTACAACATTTATAAAAATGTTGAGAAAATACGCACTTTCTATACAAATAAACAGAAAGCTATCATGCTTTGGGTATACTGGCTCATACTGAGCCCAGGTTGAAGATGCTACATTCTAACGGTGACATGTTTCCAAACGGTTGGATGTTCTCACCCTTGAGTGCAGAAAACTCTCAACTCGTCTATATTTTTCAGGCACAGAGGGAGAGGAGATAAGGTTCACACCCCACCTTTGGGAACGGAACAAAAGCAAAGGCTTGGCAGGGCTGAAAAAAACTCCTCCTTCGTCAGGACCCTAGAGGTGGCAGCTCTGCAGGGCTCCCTTCATATTTCCTCCTAGTTAACTCACTCTCGGCGGTCACAGAATCTATGTCTACACCTTGGAATGGCCACAGGCAGGCTAGGAGGTCAGTTTAGCCCTTTGCCTTGGATCGCCTCCTTTCCCCAAGTCTCCCAGTGGCTTCTAATTAACCCTTTCTGGTTCCTGCCCAGGTCAGGGCTGCTGGAAGCGTCCTCAGCAACATTCTACCATTATCTCCATCAACTCGTCACCCCACACAAGGACATAACTTCCTTTTGTGGTTTATCGTCGGTCAATTTGCATGTGCTTTGCTTTCTTTCCTTCCTACCGGCGGGCGGAGAAGGGGCTCAGTGCCTTCGGGAAGGCCCTCTCTCCCTCCCTGGCCCTCTACTGGAGCGGGATCCGGCAGCTCGCCAGCAGGTCTGCAGTGAGGAGGGATCGCACTCGCGTTAACCCTTTGAAGGGAGTTGGGAGATCTGTTCTCACTTGGGACCCGCTAAAGTGGGGCCAGTGGAGCCTGACAATCTCCCTCCCGTTCCTACACGCCCCCACCCCCCCAGAACCAGAGCAGGCTGGCACCTTCTTCCCCGCTGGTGGCCAGTTTTAATCAGCTCTCACTCTGCCCCAAACCTGGGATGGGGGAGGGGGCTTGCTAGAAAACAGGCGGCGAGGGAAAAAGACAGCAGGAGGGCAGAAGGGAAACTCAGTAGTAAATCATAGTTGAGACACAGTGTTTACTTACGAAATTTGGGGCTGGTGCTAGTTTCTGGTGTGGTGGTGGTAGCGGAGGAGGAAGAAGAGGAAGAAGAGGAGGCAGCATCCTGAAAGGGAGACAGGGTCCAGGAGGGAGTAGAATCGTGAAGGTAGGAGGAGGTAGCGTATGCCGCAGTAGGCCAGGAGGGCATTGCCTGGGTACTTGGAGTTCCTGGCACCGGGGGTCGGGAGCCCAGCGTGCTGCTACTGAAGAACGGGGCCGTGGTGGACGGGACCGTCGCAGGGGCCGCAGTGTTCCGTGCTGTGGTGGAGCGCGGGCTGGCCCGGATGGGCACCCGGTGCCCGGGGAAGCGAGTGGGCGCCCGCGTGATGGTGGTCAGGCGAGTGCTAATCCGGTTGGGCGTCCTGGAGGAGGCGGCACCCCCGGCGGAGGGGGTGGCGGGGGACGTGGTGGAAGTGGTAGTGGTGGTGGTCTCCATGGCCTTGGGGAAAGAGCTGGGCTTGGAGAGGAAGAAGGGGTCCTGGCCCATCCCCTTGGAGTCCACTAGGTCGGTGGGCACGTACTCCTTGACGGAGCCCACCACGATCCATTTGAGAAGCATGAGGCTGAGCCCCAGGCCGATGAAGCCGATGAACAGAGGTACCACGCACAGCCACGTCTGCTGCCGGTTCCACACGATGCAGTCGCTACAGCGTAACTCCCGGGGGGGCTCGGCCGCCCCTTCGCCGCCGCCGTCCGGGCCCCCGCCCGCCGCTGCCGCCGCCGCAGCCGCCGCGGTGCCCTCCTCGGCCGAGGCGGCGGCTGCCGAAGCGGCACCAGGTGGCGAGGCAGCGGCCGCCCCTTCACTCATCCTAGGAGCCGGTCTTCACCTTCGCCCCCCCGAGGGCCGCGGCAGAGGCATGGGGCCGCGCGGGCCGGGCGCGGGCGCGGGCGCGGGCTCCGGCGGCGGCGGCGGGCTCGGGCGCAGGCAGCGGCCGCGGCGGCCGCATGCAAATCCGCTCCCTGCCCCCACGCCCCTCCCCCCGAGAGGCGGGCGGCGGGCGGGGAGGAGAGGAGCGGGGGAGGGGACGGGGCCGGGGAGGGGGCGGTAAGGAGCTCGGAAGAGGGGCGAGACGGGCCCCCGGCGCCTCCGGTCGGTCAGAGAGCGGCGGGGCGCGTCTGCAGCCCTCCAAGCCGCCTCCTGCGCGCCGGGTCCCCGCGCCCGCTGCTGCTGCTGCTGCCCGCCGCCTGCGTGCGCTCCAGGAGCGCCGACATCCTCGGGGCACCGCGCCCAGCCCGCTCCCTGGGGCGCCCGCTCGCGCCGCGCCTGGGCCTCGCGCCGCCTTCAGTGGCCCCGGCGGCCGGTCGCGGGGTGCCGGGTGCCCGCCACCCGCATTCCGACACAGAGGGCCTGCCTGGCCGCCGCGATCTTCGGCGGCTGCTCCGCGAGCCCGGGCGGTGAGGTGCACCTGTTCTTCAGCCGGCCCGCAGCCAACCCTCGGCCAGCACTCTTCTGGAGAGACCAATCCCAGCGCAGCGCGGAGGGCTAGCGGCCCGGCTCGCCTTGCTCCAGCCGTTCGCTGCTGCGCGCCGCTGCCGCCGCCGCCGGAGAGTCAAACTCCAGCGAACAGCGCCGCTGTCGCCGCCGCGAGCCAGGGGCTGGGGGCGCACCGGGCGCCCGCGGCGGGTGCGGTCTGACCCGCCTCCGAGGGACCCAACAAGCAGGCAGAGGATCGGAAATCACGCCCCGGCGCCCTGCCCGGTTGAGCGTGGGGGACGGAAGCGGGAGACTGCGTCGGGGGTCCCGGGGAACGCAGACCCCGGGCTGAGGGCGTCTCCAGACGGGCTCTGGCTGCCAGGCTGGTGCGTGTGTGTGTGCAGAATCGCCGCGGCGGGCTGGGATTCGGGCAGAGTAGCGCCTCCCACTAGCAGCTAATGCTGGTTTCTTAATGCACACAAGATAGATAAATGATCCAAGCAAACCCCCGTTTGCGGTGGGGTGGGGGGGCAAAAGCAGCTTCCGACCGATTGTGAGTCGTCTCCTGTACGGATCCAGTGGGGTCAGAGACTGACGCTGCTGGGCGAGGGGGCGGGGGCGGATGCGGGTGGGAGGGTGCCTGTGCCCTCCCCTGCCGGATGGCGGTGCGGCTGGATGGAAGGCCACCTTTGCCTGAGTTCCTGAGAGATGCAGGTGGAGCAGAAGACCTTTGTATAATCAGACCTGTCAGATATCTCCAAGCCATTTATGTGAACTTGCCTTAAAATATTGTCTTTACCTGTAAATGTACGCACAGGTACACACGTTACAAGGCAAGTGTTTGTGAGAGGTAAATATGAAAGGATTTGGGGTTGGACTCCCAAATTCCGTTACTGCTTTCTTCCCTTGGCTGGGGAGGCACCTGTGTACCTATTTCTCCAGCGCTGTGTGGTACCTGCCGAGGCAAGGGGCAAAGAGCCAGTGTTAGCATGACATATGCCGACAGTGCAAAACCTTGCTTGCCAACTCTCCCCAGATTTCCTGGTCTAAAGTGAAAACCGAAGAGGAGGGGTTTTTATTTACAAGCGTTAAGAATATGAGGTTGAGAAAGGCAACTTTCTAATACATTCCCCCAGCACTGTCTGATTGGCGTGGATGATGGAGCCCGCATTCTCTTGTCCTGTGATAGTCTCCACAAAGATGAAGTTTTCAAGGTATCCATTTTATTCACAGGGGGAGAGCCAAACGTTACACTGAAGAGACTGCAGAGAGCAGAGGATGCATTGAAACAGGAAGCCCCTGGGGTTTGGTGCCTACCAGAGTACTTTGCACAGACAAGGTTAATAAATTATTTTTGATGGCAGTAATGCGGCTGTCACCTCTTTCAGCTATAACATTGAGACTTTCCCCATAGGAAAGCTTTTGATTTTTAGTTTGATGGAACATGCCTTAATCTAGTAGTGCTGAATTATGGTTCCAAAAATTGTAAGCAAAAAAAAAAAAACCAGAATCCTTTGAATCCAAATTCCTTTAGCTTTCCAATGTAAAGCACTGCCATCTTAAGTAAAAACTGACCCAGTATCTACCTTCTGTAGGTGCTAGGAATCTACTTCCCAGCTAGGAATCTACTTGCCCAGCCTTTCTTGTGTAGCAAATAAAAGCTTTCCTGCAAACCTCTCTGGAATTATAGCAGGTGCTACTGTCAGCTATTTGAGACAGAAAATTACTTTTCCCAAGCACTCCTAGTTCATTGCCCATCCCCACCACTGCCAGTATTCCTGTGGTCTCTCCCATTTTTTCTGCCTGGTAGAGTAAATCCAGTGTACAGAAAGGGATGCTATAATGCTGCAGCTGGGCAAATGCAGGCAAATGTTCCCTTTCCTGAAGCCACAGTCTGACAGCATTCACTCCATGTTCTCTCAGTACTCCCTAATGCCTTCTTCATCTGCCTCTCCAAATTCCCTCTACTTCTCATTTCCACTTGGCTTTAACAGCTTATTCATGTATCCCTGTTGAGCTCATTTTGCCCCAGATCCCAAGCCACCGTACTCAGCTACCCATTGGTTGTTCTCACAGTGAACATCATCACTAGAGAGAGAGAAAAAAAAAATCAAAACGTTGCTTTGATAGCCTTGTATTGGGGAACAGGTTGTACCACCCTATCCAAGAATGTTTGGCTGGTGCAACCATCATTAACTTGCAATTTTATTGTGAGGCTCCCTGGTAGCAGGTGGTAAGCACTGGCACTGGAAGTGAGAATGGGGAGGGGGCTGTCCACAGTTGTGTCGAGGACAAGTAGTGGACCCTCTCACTGCTAATAAGCAGCCAGTTAGTCAGTCCCATGGTAGGGAGGAGCCTCGTTCTGGTGACTCAGAGCTCACTGG
This sequence comes from Homo sapiens, assembly GCF_000001405.40. NCBI lineage: Eukaryota > Metazoa > Chordata > Mammalia > Primates > Hominidae > Homo > Homo sapiens. Next base: position 81,872,350 of record NC_000010.11, on the reverse strand, counting down.
AGCAGAACGCTGAAGAAGCAGCTTCAGGCTCAGACTCTTAATACAGGGATTCAAGTTAGAGCTCTGCCACTTATAAGCAATAAAATCACTCTGGGCCACTGTTTTTTCAACTGTGTAATGGAGGTATGATGCCCACATTCTACGTAATTATATGAAATTGTATAGCTAAATGGACTATTCACCTATGGCACCATTTAAGCATTATCCTCAGATATCTTCCTGTGGAGATAATTATTCTAACAAATGGGTGTGGCATGCCTCAGCCTCCCCTGAGCTTCCCATCTGCCTGACTATAATTACCTGTGGATATCTCCTATGTGGTCTACTGACACACTAAACTTGGGATTTCTAATCATTGCCTAAAGTTTGACACAAGTCAGCATTTCTATTGAAATGCAGTTTTCCCCTCAATGGCACCAATATCCCCAGGCTGAGAGTCTCAGTGCCATCTGACTCCTTACCCGCCATTTCCCAAGTTCAATTAGTTGTCAAGTCATTTACTTTCTACAGTATGATTGTCCAGGGCTTCCTCCATTGCAAAGTCTTTGGTAAAGGCTCATCTTTGAAACCACAAGGCTGTAAATGACCTCAGTGGCCAAACACCTCTGATGTGTCATCTCATCACATGTCCCAGGTGTTGGGTTTCTTCTGGCTCTCTGGCAAAGGGCACTTCCTGGGGAAGACCACCCAGCCTGTCAGTGTACATAATTAGAAAAGTCTTTTTGTTGAGACAAAAGTCGGCCTTCCCATACATTCACTCTTTCTCCTTAGCTCATTCTTTATAGAAACCTTTTACAAATTATATACCAGGCACAGAGGATATAACAGAGAACACTGTTAAGGCCCCTACCTTCATGGAGCTTATATTTTAGAGAGACTGATCATGATCAAACACAATAGATAAATTTTATAGTCTATCAGAAAATGAAAAGTGCAGGTTTGGACCACCAAGAACCTGCCTAGTTAGTGTAATTACAAAGGATATCTCCAGTCCAAGATCCTCAATCTGTTTCCAATCCCCACAAGGCCATGAGAACTTGACACTCCTAGCAATATGACACCAGAGTGCTCTTTTATTCCCTGTGGGTTCCCTGGCTAGTGTACTCACTTTTGAAGCCAGTCTGGCCTGCAAAATCCTAATATTCTTCATAATGTTTACTGGAATCATGTAGAGGCAATGTGGTTCCCGAACACATTTCACAGAGTAAACATTTTGCAAAGCATGAATAAGGTTAACCTTCCATATGACTGCATATGTCCTTTTTCTCCCTTGGTTTAGTCCACTACTGTGATTATAATGATACACATTTTTTAGTAATCATGGTGGCCTTTTTAAAAGAAAAGTTGATTGCTTTCTTCACAGGTCTCAATAAGTAAGTTTATTTCTTGTGAGTTCTTGATGCTGTATGTGTAGGATCAACCCAAAAATCTACTGGAAAATCCCCACATGGATCACATTATTCATAACAGCTTGACTCCCAAGCATTTCTGCATTACAACCCAATATCATAAATAAAATGAATAATAAAATATAAAAAGTATACAGAGCAAAATCTGAAAGTGGAAAGTGAAGAATTCTAGTTCTAACCATACGATAGTCACAAGATGATTCTACCAATCTTCAAAGACTTAAGGTATTTGGAATGTTACCAAATTGCACTATCATAAATTAGAAAATGCCGACTACGGTATAACAGGATGTGGAATTAGAAGTTTTTAATAAGGCACTAAGGAAAAAAAATAGATGTGAATTTTTAGTGGGAGGTGCCAGAAAACAATACCCAAATTTCAAAATAGGTTAACTATGAACTGGGTAGATAGCACAACACATTGTAGATCGGGGGAGAATTTTTGTTTGTTTTTTTTGTTTTGTTTTGTTTCGTTTTGTTTTTGAGATGGCGTCTTGCTCTGTTGCCCAGGCTGGAGTGCAGTGGCATGATCTTGGCTCACTGCAACCTCCACCTCCCAGGTTCAAGTGATTCTCCTGCCTCAACCTCCCAAGTAGCTGGGATTGCAGATGCCCGCGACCACACCTGGGTAGTTTTTGTATTTTTAGTAGAGACAGGCTTTCGCCATGTTTGTCAGGCTGGTCTCAAACTCCTGACCTCAGGTTATCTGCCCACCTCAGCCTCCCAAAGTGCTAGGATTACAGGTGTGAGCCGCTGTGCCCAGCCCAGGGAGAATTTCTGTGAAGAGGCTACCTTTAGCAGAAGTTGTGCCTGAGTTCAGTGGGGGAGGAACACAAGTACAGAGCCTTTTTCTTCAAGTACAGATATGTATCACTTAACAACAAGGATATGTTCTAAGAAATGTGTCATTAGGCGATTTTGTTATTGTGTGACATTGTAGTGTATACTTAGAGAAAACTATGGTATGGCCATCTACACACCTAGGCTATGGGGTGTGGTCTATTGCTCCCAGGCTATACCTGTAGAGCATGTTACTATATTGAATATTGCAGAAGATTATAACACAATGGTATTTGTGTATATAGATATAGCTAGGCATAGAAAAGGTACAGTCAAAATATGATGTTATAATCTTAGGGAACCACCACTATATGTGTGGTCCATCATTGACTGGACCGTCCTTATGCACAGCATGACTCTATGGTGAGAGGGGACTAAAAGAGAATCCTGGAGAGCTCAATCTGGGACCCTTAGTGTTTGAATGAACCTCATTGGATTGGGACACAAGCCTCAGGAATGCCAAATCAAGGAGATGGGTTAAGTGGGCTGTGGCAGCAGCAGACAATTTAAGCATTTGCCATCCTCAGAAGGCACGAAGATAGAGCCCAGGTGGAATGTTGGGTGAGTGTAGAGGAGAGGAGCATTAGTCGAAAATGAGCTGGAAAGTCAGTGGTAAAGGGTGTGATTGTGATAGATGTTTATGTAATTCTTTTCGCATTGCATTCGAACTGCCTGTACTTTAAGGTACCAACATGGGTACGTTATTCTTGACATTCAAAGTTGCCATTGCTCTTTGTCTATCTAGTTTTTGGTCTCCTTGTCGATAGTTTTTGCCTTTTTTTTCTTTTAGACAGAGTCTCACTCTTGTCACCAGGCTGGAGTGCAGTGGTGCGATCTTGGCTCACTGCAACCTGCCTCCTGGGTTGAGGTGATTCTCCTGCCTCAGCCTCCCAAGTAGCTGCGACTACAGGCATGTGCCACCACGCCTGGCTAATTTTTGTATTTTTAGTAGAGATTAGGTTTCAACATGTTGGCCAGGATGGTCTCAATCTTTTGACCTCATGATCCAGCCGCCTCGGCCTCTCAAAGTGCTGGGATTACAGGCGTGAGCCACCATGCCTGGCCTTAGTTTTTGCCTTTCTATCCATGTCATGCCTGGCATCTTCCCCCAACATTGGTAGATATATTTTTCTTAGATTGCTTCACTGTGCAATTCTATTCTTTTGGAATCATCTGATTGGATCTAAAACTGGAGAACTGGTAGATGGAAATTTACCTTGACAATTCACTGATCAAGCACCCTCAGAGAACCCAGTGCTTTGGAAAGGGTTTTTAAAAAACGGCTTCTCAGCAGGGTTAGAAACAAAGGCGGTGGGATTTTCTCCTCCTTCCAAACCACAAGCAGGATTTCATTTGACAATTTACATGCTTCTCACCACTCCTGGATCGGGTCAGTGTAAAGGAACTTCTAGTATAGAAGGGATGTGATGCCAGCTGTCTGAAATTCCTATAAGTGAGGAAAAACATCTTTGTTTCAAGCTTCATTATTCCTAAGAAAGGCAGCTTATTACGCTGCATTCAGAACGAGCTGATGTGATTTCATGTTTGTATAAATAACACTTTGGCTTCATCTCACCTGCGTTTTCTAGAAATCTTCATTCTGCTTCCTTAGATTTTGGGCTAAAACCTTCGTAACACACTATGGGAGAAAACAAACAAATACTTTTCTACATTTCTTCACTGGTTCATTTTATGCCTACACCATGGAGACTCCCTGCTAAGCTGTTCAGAGAAATCCGAGGACAGATAGCCTTGGTGCCACATCTGAGACCTTTGCTTACAATAGCTGACCTGCTCAACATGGCCCTAACTTGTTTATCTCATAGAATATTAAGATACAAGTATGAGTTTAGAATTTCCTCGCCCACTTCCCAATCTTTCTGAGGATTATTAGTAGTCTGTGAAGGTTTTCAGGTGGCCCACAATCTCTCCCTCATATCAGGTAAAGAAATGTATTCTTGATAATAGATCAATCATCAGTAAAGAAAGAGCAGAGGCTTTGGATTCAGACAGACTTGAACCTGACTTTCAGCAAGTTGTTGTGTGGTTGAAAAGTGTCACTTATGATGTGCTCAGTGCTGTGGTTGGCATATAGTAGACAGGTCAGAGGTAGTAACAGGTATTGTAATGAAAATCCAAATTGCCAGCGTGGAACGTTATCTTAGAGCCTGCCTTTTCCAACAAGTTTTGCAGGAGATATTCACAGGAGTTTGGTGCTGTGTTATTTCTGTTAACAAGCTGGATCTTGGCAGTGTATGTGAGCTTCAGGGCCAGGGAAGGGGCACTGTGGAGAGGCATGGACTTCATAGCCCCAGGTGATGAATGCATCTTCATTCCCTCCCCTGTGTGCTACCCCACCACCACCACCAACAACAACAAAGCCCACAGAATTACAGAGGAATACATGTTGATATCTCATAGCAGATTTGGCCCATCTGTTATCTCCAAGAAGGGCATTCTGAGAGGACAAAACTTGCTCAGTACTCTAAATTGAGAAAGAAAAAACGAAAACACCACCTAGTTTATTTAGACAAAATTATCAACTGAAACCCAGCAGGCTAACAATGCCCATCCCTTGTGAGAAAGATACTCCAATGGGTTTTGGAGACTTAGAAAACGTGTTCTTTATCTTGCTCTTGAGAATTTTATGATTTGGTGGAAGGTGATTCCCTGTTTTAAACAAAAATGAATAAAAGTACCAATGTGTATTTATGTGTCTATGTAACTTTGCCAGTGGGCAGTGCTTAAACTGAATGCAGATAGTAAAGGAAAAAAGATTATACAAGGACTAGCTGGTTGTGAACTTCTCAACTGCCTTCAGAGTATTGTTCAGGATTGTCTGAGTAGTTTCTTAAGTGTCATAGTTTTGTTCAGCATTACTGATGCCAAAGACAAAAGGAGAACCAGTAAGGAAATTGATTTTATTCAGGCTATTACAATAAGGAAAGCACACTAGATCTGAAAATCAGAATGTCTTAGCACAGTGGTTTTGCCCTGGACTGTCACAGGGAGGAACACAGCATGATTTACAGTTGGGGCTATTGTACAATTAGGTGGAGTCCCAGTCACTTAGCTGAACAGGAAATGTTTATCTCTGTGTCTAGCCAGTTTCAGGGGGAGGGACAGTTCTAGTCTTAGGCTAATCATTTATGAGATAAAGAACAACAAAGTGGAGGGTCTGTGTCTGACCTTTTCAGCTGGTACAGGAAAAAGGAAGGTCTGTGTTTGGCCTCATCATCAACCAGGGGGTCACCCATGTCTTATGGGAGTCATGGGAAAGAGTGGACAAGCAGTGTTATCTCAGTCCCATGGGAAAAGGTGGTTCTTGGTGGTGAGCCACTTCCTGGAACACAGAAGTGGGAAGGGATTTCTGAAAACCAAAATTATGGGGGTGGATTCCTTAAGCATTACTGTTCCGTAGGGGCATAGGGCTCAGGTAAAGTTCAATATTGACATTGACATAAATTTATGTTCTCTTTTTAACATTATAAGAATGCGTTTGTGCTAATAATTCTTAGTAATGATAAGAGTGGAAACATATCCTGTAAGACTCATGTTTCTTTTTTCCTTACATGGAAAATACAAAGTAAAATTACTCCCAAATCTTTACTACTGGTGAAAAACAGTGAAATGCCATAGGAATACCATGTGTATCTCCATTTGACAAAATATTCTTCATGTTCTAGTTAGCTTGGCAGTTAGAGAATATTTTAGAATTTAGAAGCCACAAAACGGTATCCTAGTAAATCTTTTAAAGCCATGGGTATAATCCTATGTAATTTATAACATACACAAACTATGTCAAGATTTTTACTGTTTTTTGTGGGAGCTTGTCTAGTGTACATTTTTTGTCTCAATATCATTGCTTTTAATTAATGCAGCAATGAAAGACTATGGGAAAACATCTTCTGCTTTGAATATAGACATTGTAGGACAATTGAATAACACATTTGACCAATCATTATGTTTGTGCATGCTTGTGCTTGGGGTGTGTGTGTGTGTGTGTGTGGTGACATACGTAACACAGGGGGATATGGAAGCAGTTTTTACATTAAAATTTTCCAGGGAACAAGGTGGAATAGAAATGGAATTATATGTCTAGATTAATGAAAACTATATACTCAACAGTGATAATTAGATTTCATACAGAATTAAGAGACAGAAAGTGAAAACAGAAAGCTCTTTAGGCTTACGTACTCAAAGGAATTCCACAGAGTTGGGAAATGTAAAGTTGACCCCCCTGAGAGACTAGCCAGGCCGAATGGCTCCTATTGTGCTTCAGAGAGAGAGCAAGCTGCTTCAGAAGCAGACAAGAGGAGTTTAGAATGGTGTCCAACCCACTGCTGATGGTTGTTAATATGGAAAACTCTCTACCAGGAACTGGAGTAAGGTTCACCCAACTCTGATCTCCCCTGAGTCACTGCAAAGGAAAACAATTTTTAGTCTCCACTACATTGAATAACATTAAAAATCAAAACAACACTATTTATGGTTAATGGTTTAAATATTAAAGAAAATATTAGTCAAAAGTCTCAAAATTATCATGTTGGGAATGACATAATCAAAAAATAACCTCCTTGGGAAATTTTCAATTAGCTACGAAGTATTCCCCTGGTAAGCAGACTAGGATATATTGGTGATCTCTTGCTTTAAGGCAGATTTGCAAATAATTACACACTATTTGCCACCCCACACATAACTCTGTCTGTTGTCCTTTCTCTCACTGGGAGGACTAAAGAAGTAAACTCACAATTGGTATTCCTCATGTTTCTCCAGGACACACATCTGATTTCTCTGGGCAGTTGTCTTAGCAGCAAGATACCTCTTAGGCAAGGCATGATGGGTTTCCAGAATTTGAACCCGAACTGCACCTGTACCTTCTGTTCACTGAAGTGATAAGCATAAATATTTAAGCAAGAGGCTAGAACCCTGGTCTAAGTCCTAGAAATTCAATGTAGGCCTGAAGAAGGACAAAAGAAATCTGAGGTTCTATATGGAAATTTACAAGGGGGACCCAGAAATAGAAAGATTTAGAAGTTACATTAAAAACTTTGGCGAATTCTAAAAGTTGTAGCCATGTTCAAGTGCACTGAAAGAAGAACCTGAAGGGAATTGAACCTCCTTCACAATCTTGCAGGCAGTCTTTTCTGAAAGCTGTAGTCCAGTGACCCTTTGAAGTGGCAAGGCACATTCAGGATCTCATCATCCTATAATGCTAATGGGTAAAAAGTGATACCTTTCATCTTTAAAGCTTTCAGACAAACTTACATCATTCAAATTCTTCAAGCAGTTCCCCTTTCCTGCAGAAAAAAATGGCAATTTCTTCTTTCTAAAAATCTTTTTTTAATTTTTAAGTTTTTTTGTGTGATTGAGATGGAATATCATGGAGTCATTATGTCTTTTGTTTCCAGACATGATGTCAGAAATGTCATCCCGAAGAAAGACAACTCTGTGCATCAAAGTTGTCTTGTCTCACTGTGCATTCAAGGGAGACTTAAACGGAGTTGCAAATATTTTGATTAAGCTAACCAAGGGTCACATGTAATTTCTGAAAACACAGATATCAAATACTTGATGGATTTAGAGAACGTGTGTACATAGAGCAAAGAGGAGAGTTGAAACTATGAACAGTAAATTATTGATTCTCTAATATGATGAAGGATATGGGTAGTGGAGAATGCATTTTAACAAACAGGAAGGCTATGATTGAATCTTACTTTGTCTAACAATTTGATGAAAATCTCTGGGTCTCAGTTATATTGTCCACAAAATTTGGGAAGCACCATGGCCAGGATTGCTATAATGTTAAAACAGAAAACAAATGTGAATATATTTTGAATATTTTAAAACACTCTGCATATATTTTAAAACATTCAAATACAATCAATTAATGTGATTATGAACATTTATTGTATTCAATTGTATCTTTATATTGGATGATATGGAATATATGTAAACTTCACTGTTTTTTAAAAGATCTCAAACTGGAATGTAAAAGGGCAACTTTTTTTCACAATTTTATACTATGTGTCAGACTTCCTTTGTTCTTTCTAGGTTCCTCTCTACCAAAAGCAAATGGAAGTTCTCCAGGGTACACATTCCCAGGGGCACAGGCTAGGCCATTCCTTGAAAGCTACTGCTTTGGCAAGCTTGTAACCAATAGGAATATATGCTGTCTAAGCTGTCATTCTTTGCCCTTTGGGGTTAGGGTGGAGGTGAGAGGACTAATTTGGAGCCACCTCTTCTCTCCAGCTGGCCCAAACACTTTCCTTTTGGATCTTTATGTCATAATTTCCACTTCCCTCAGTTCTCTTGGAGTCAGACATCTTATGATTACATGTTTTGTAGCAATGTTTTTAGTTCTTCCTATTATTGCTGGTGGCCTGATTAAGTGGGTTGAAATAATAAAATCCAAAGAAATAAATGGGTCCTGTACTAACTTGAAAGACTGCTTATTGCTTGACAGTTACAGATATAGCAACTTCCCAGAGTCACTTTTATCATTATTTTACTTAAAAATTAGTGCATTATATATGAGACCTCTCATGTTAGGAACTTAAAACATAATACAGCATTTATGTACTAATCACGGTTTTTGCCGAAATATCAAAGTATCTTTTGTGAGCAGTTGGGGGCTGTCTAAAGAAGCATACGATCAGTGATGTCAGTAAAATGGTAGAGTAAGTAAGGGTCTCTGAGAATCCTCTTCTTCATGAACACAATGAGAACATTGGCAAAAACTGTCAGAGTCAACTTTTTTAAAATATTGGAAATTTACCAGAGCAGCAATCTGAGGAGCATTTATTCAATTAAAAAAAAAAAAGGCTGAATCTTGGTAAGAACAAAAAACATGTCCTATTGAGAGGTGACAGCGTGCTGGCAGCCCTCACAGCCCTCGCTTGCTCTGGGCACCTCCTCTGCCTGGGCTCCCACTTTGGCAGCACTTGAGGAGCCCTTCAGCCCACTGCTGCACTGTGGGAGCCCCTTTCTGGGCTGGCCAAGGCCGGAGCCAGCTCCCTCAGCTTGCAGGGAGGTGTGGAGGGAGAGGCACTAGTGGGAACCGTGGCACTTGCAGGCCAGCTGGAGTTCCGGGTGGGCGTGGGCTTGGCGGCCCTGCACTCCGAGCGGCAGGCCGGCCCTGCCAGCCGGGGCAATGAGGGGCTTAGCACCTGGGCCAGCGGCTGCGGAAGGTGTACTGGGTCCCCCAGCAGTGCTGGCCCACTGGCACTGCGCTCGATTTCTCCCCGGGCCTTAGCTGCCTCCCCACAGGGCAGGGGCTAGGGACCTGCAGCCCGCCATGCCTGAGCCTCCCCACCGTGCCCGCAGCCAGTCCTGTGCGGCTGGAGCCTCCCCAACGAGTGTCGCCCCCTGCTGCATGGCGCCCAGTCCCATCGACCACCCAAGGGCTGAGGAGTGTGGGCGCACAGCCCAGGACTGGCAGGCAGCTCCACCTGTGGCCCCAGTGCAGGATCCACTGGGTGAAGCCAGCTGGTTTCCTGACTGGTGGGGACTTGGAGAACCTTTATGTCTAGCTAAGTGATTGTAAATACACCAATCGGCACTCTGTATCTAGCTCAAGGTTTGTAAACACACCAATCAGCACCCTGTGTCTAGCTCAGGGTTTGTGAATGCACCAGTCGACCCTCTGTATCTAGCTACTCTGGTGGGGATTTGGAGAACCTTTGTGTCCACACTCTGTATCTAGCTAATCTAGTGGGGACGTGGAGAACCTTTGTGTGTCTAGCTCAGGGATTATAAACCCACCAATCAGCACCCTGTCAAAACAGACCACTGGGCTCTCTGTAAAATGGACCAATCAGCAGGATGTGGGTGGGGCCAGATAAGAGAATAAAAGCAGGCTGCCTGAGCCAGCAGTGGCAACCTGCTTGGGTTCCCTCGAACACTGTGGAGGCTTTGTTCTTTCGCTCTTTGCAATAAATATTGCTGCTGCTCACTCTTTGGGCCCACACTGCCTTTATGAGCTGTAACACTCACCGCGAAGGTCTGCAGCGTCAATCCTGAAGCCAGCGAGACCACGAACCCACCAGGGGGAATGAACAACTCCAGATACACCAACTTAAGAACTGTAACACTCACCGCGAGGGTCCGCAGCTTCATTCCTGAAGTCAGTGAGACCAAGAACCCACCAATTCTGGACACACTATTTTCATCCTTCTCTCTCCAGCTCCACAGTAACCTTGAAAATCAATAGTCTGCAATCACCAGTAAAAACTAGCAGACTGGAGGGGGCAGAATGGGGTTGGAGTTCTTTCAAAGCCTCATTCCCAAAAAATAGTCATTATTTGACCCATCTAGCAGTTCCCTAGAAAAGCCAATTACAAGGCTGAGTTTACCTAATATGACTCAGAAATCACCAATATGAAAAGTCCTTTCTCTCAGGGGCATGTGTTTGTAAGATTTAGAAGCAATTTTTTAAGTTTGTGTACACCCGAAGCAGTAGGCAACATTTGGGGCAGACACTAAGCTACACAAAAAGTTTAAAAGGAAAAGTTTAGGAATGAGATGTCCATGGGGGTTTTGAAAAGCTCCAACATGTTTTTCAAAATATAGAACATCATGCACATGCATAAGGCTATGCTTATGCCCAGGGAAGAACTGACAAAGGTCTACACTTTCATTTGTGGCTGACATTGAGGTTCTATGTAAGCAGGAGGTGAGGGGGAAGAGAGTTGTAAACTCACAGAGCACTGAAAATGTGGTCTAACACATACAGAACCACCTGGCAAAGATTGGGAGACTTGCTGGCTTCAAGTATTTAAGGAAATTTATGCCCAGTCATTAACTAGCCACTACACTAACTGAACAAAAACTTCAGTGGCCACATATGACAAAGAATATGGATTTTATATAATTTGTCTGGGAAAGTCATTAAACAAATGAAGAAACAAAAACAGACAACAATAGCAACAAGCCCTAGCGAGGGGAGAAGAATCTGATTTTCAGAGTTGTCACATTATATTCTAAAAATGCCCAGTTCACAACAAAAAATTATGAGGTTTGCAAATGAACAAAGCCTGATTCTTATGCAGGAAAAAAGCAATCAAAAGAAACTCTCTAAGAAAGCGTATGTGTTGGACTTACTAGACAAAGACTTTAAATCAGCTATGCTAAACACATCCAGAGACATAAAGGAAACCATGTCTAAAGAACTAAACGAAAGTGTGAGAATAAAGTCCCACCAAATAGAGAATATCAATAAAAAAGTATAAATGATAAAAAAAAGAACCAAATAAAAATTCTTGAGATTAAAAGTACAAAAACTAAAACAAAAAAAAATCACTATAAGGGCTTAACAGAAATTTGAGCAGGCAGAAGGAAAAAAGTCAGCAAACTTCAGGATAGATCAGTTGAAACTATCCAGTCGGAAGAAGAGAAAAAAAGAAAGAAGAAAAATTAATAGAGTCTCTGAGACTTTGAGACAACAGGAAGCATACTAAAATTGGCATAATGGAATTGTGGGATTCCCAGAAGGAGAAGAAAAAGAATAAAAGAAGGCAGAAAGAATATTTGCATAAATAATGGCCAAAAAATTCCAAATTTAATGAAAAACATCTACAAACCCAAGATGCTCAACAGCCTACAAATAGGAAAAACTCAAAAGGATCCACAACTAAATACATTATAATCAAATTGACAGAAGACAAAGAGAGAATCTTGAAAGGAGGATGAAAGAAACAAAGTATCATTTATAAGTAAGCCTTAATAAAATTAACAGCTGATTTTTCATTAAGGTAATAAAGGTCATTAAGGCCAGATGGCAGTGGGATGTCATAGTCAAAGAGCTAAAAGAAAAAAAGACTTTAAACAGAGAATTTTAAATCCAGTAAAATTATCCCTTAAAAATGAAGGAGGCTGACATTAAATAACATGGTGGGATAGGAGGTTTTACACACATATCTCACACAGCAACAATAATTTGGCAGCCATCCATGGATGAATGCTTTTGTGCAAGCTCAGGGATCCAGGTAGAAGATTGTGAAACCCTGGTGGAGACCAAGACCAAGAAAAGCCATTTTATGAAGGTGAGCCCATGCCCAGGTTACAGACTCACTGACTGTGTTTCTAGCTACAATTGAGAAACAGTGCCACCTCTGATTTCAAATTATATCACAAAGTTATAATAATCAAAACAAGTGGTAATGACATACAAGCAGACACATAGACCAGTGAAACAAAATAAAGAGCTCAGAGGCCCAGGCACGGTGGCTCACACCTGTAATCCCAGCACTTTGGGAGGCCGAGGCGGGTGGATCACAAAGTCAAGAGATTGAGACCATCCTGGCCAACATGGTGAAACACTTTCTCCACTAAAAAATACAAAAATTAGCCAGGCGTGGTGGCGGGGGCCTGTAGTCCCAGCTACTTGGGAGGCTGAGGCAGGAGAATCACTTGAACTCGGGAGGTGGAGGTTGCAGTGAGGCGAGATTGTGCCACTGCACTCCAGCCTGGTGACACAGCAAGACTCCATCTCAAAAAATAATAATAATGAATTATAAAAAAGAGCTCAGAAACAAACCCCTGCATATATGGCCAACTAGTCTTTGACAAGGGCACAATGCATACACAAAAAGGAAAGAATAGGCTCTCAGTAAATGGTGTTGAGAAAACTGGATATCTGCATGCAAAAGAATAAAATTCAATTATTGTCTTATATCACACAGAAAAGACAAGTCAAAATGAGATGTAAGACCTGAGCTGTAAGACTCCTAGAAGAAAATAAAGGGTGAAAGTTAACTGACATTAGTTTTGGCAATGATTTCTTGATTATAACACAAACAGCAAAGGCAACAGAAGGTGAAATTAATAAATGAGATTACACCAAACTAAGAAGCTTTGCAAAGCAAAGGAAACAGTCAACAGAGTACAAGCACAATCTACAGAGTGGGAGAAAATATTTGCATATCATACACCTGATAAGGAGTCAATATTCAAAATATATAAGGAACTCAAAAACTCAACATTAAGAAAACAAACGACCAGATTAAAAATGGGCAAAGGATCTAAATAGCTATTTCTCAACAAAAGACATATAAATGCTTAACAGGTGTAAGAAAAAATGCTCAACATCATGAATCACCAAGAGAATGCAAATTAAAACCACAATGAAGTATCATCTCACACCTGTTTGAATGAGTATCATTTTAAAAAATGAAAGATAGGTGTTGGCAACAGTTTGAAGAAAAGTAAATCCTTGTACACTATTAGTGAAAATGTAAGTTAATACAGACATTTTGGAAAACAATATAAAGGTTCTTTAAAATATTAAAAAAAAGAACTACTCTATGATTCAGTAATCTTACTTCCGGATATAAATCCAAAAGAAATAAAATAATTATCTTGAAGAGATATCTGCACACCTGTGTTCAACGCAGCATTTTTCACAATGGCCAAGATAAGAATCAAGCTAAGTGTCAACCATTGGGTGAATGGATAAACATTATACATATGATGGAATTTCATTCCACATATATAAAATTTATATTCAGTCATATAAAAGAAGAAAGAAGGAAATCTTGCCATTTTCAATAACATGAATGAACCTGGAGGACATTATGCTAAGTGAAACTAAGACACACACAGAAAAAAAAATAGTGTGTGATCTCACTTATAAGTGGAATCTAAAGAAGTTGAACTCCTAGAACCAGCAATTAGAATCACGGTTGCCAGGGATATTGGTCAAAGGGTACAAACTTTACATTATAAGATTAATAAGTCCTGAGATTCTCCTGTGCAGCATGATGACTTTAGTTATTTATGCTGTATTGTATGCTGGGAAAAAAAGAAAATACCAAAATATTCGACTATAGGAAATTTTACATTAAAAGTATCGTATGTCAAATGACAAATTAAAATGAGAAAATTTGTGGTAATAACTAAATAGTACACAGCTTCTTTTGGGGGTGATGAAGTGGTTTAAAATTGATTGTGGAGATGTTCGTGTAACTCTGTAAATAAAATAAAGAGCATTGAATTGCACACTTTACCTGGAAATACTAAAGAGTGTCCTTCAGGCTGAAATGAAGAGACCCTAGACAATAACTTAAATGCACATGAATTAAAAACACTGGTAACAATAACTACACAGGTGGCTGGGCATGATGTCTCATACCTGTAATCCCAGCACTTTGGGAGGCTGAACCAGACAGATTACTTGAGCCCAGGAGTTTGAGACCAGCCTGGGCAGCATGGTGAAACCCCATCTCTACAAAAAAAAAAAATTCCAAATATTTAGCCAGGCATGGTGGTGCATGCCTGTAGTCTGAGCTACTTGGAAAGCTGAGGTGGGAGGATCAACTGAGCCTGGGGAGGTGAAGCCTGCAGTAAGCCCTGACCATGCCACTATACTCTAGCCTGGGTGACAGAGTGAGACCCTGTCTAAAAAAGAAAAGAAAAGAAAATGGTAACTACACAGGTAGGTAATTTTTGCTTATAACATTTTTTAATCTCATTTTTAAAACTACATAAAGCAACAATTATAAATCTGCATTGATAGGCATATAAGGTATAAAGATGCCTTTTATATAACAATAACAGCATAAAGCAGTGGGGATGTAACAGAGCTCCATGGAAGGAAAGTGGAGGAAAGGTTTTTATACTGTTGAAATTACATTGGTATTAATAAAGACTAGGTTGTTATAAATTAAGATGTTAATTACAAACCCCAGAGCAACCCTTAAGAATAAAACACAAGGCTGGGCATGGTGGCTCACACCTGTAATCCCAGCACTTTGGGAGGCAGGGGGGCGGATCACTAGGTCAAGAGATAGAGACCATCCTGGCTAACATGGTGAAACCCCGTCTCCACTAAAAATACAAAAAATTAGCCAGGCGTGGTGGCGGGTGCCTGTAGTCCCAGCTACTAGGGAGGCTGAGGCAGGAGAATGGCATGAACCCAGGAGGCATAGCTTGCAGTGAGCGGAGATCCCACTACTGCCCTCCAGCCTGGGAGACAGCGAGACTCCATCTCAAAAAAAAAAAAAAAAAGAATATAACACAAAAATATATATAGTGGATGAAATTGGAAACCATCATTCTCAGTAAACTATCGCAAGAACAAAAAACCAAACACCACATATTCTCACTCATAGGTGGGAATTGAACAATGAGATCACATGGACACAGGAAGGGGAATATCACACTCTGGGGACTGTGGTGGGGTCGGGGGAGGGGGGAGGGATAGCATTGGGAGATATACCTAATGCTAGATGACACGTTAGTGGGTGCAGCGCACCAGCATGGCACATGTATACATATGTAACTAACCTGCACAATGTGCACATGTACCCTAAAACTTAGAGTATAATAACAAAAAAAAAAATTAAAAAAAAAAAAAAAAAAAGAAACACCCTCTAAAAAAAAATATATATATATATATATATATAGTGAAAAGAAACAGGAAAATTAAAATGGTGTGCTATAAAATAACACAAAAGAAGGCAGTAATGGAGAAAGAGAGACAAAAAAGAAAGAAGACACATAGAAAACAACAATATGACAGATGAAAATCTTGTCAGTAATTACATTAAATGTAAATGGATCAATCACTGAAGGTGGAAATTGGTTGAATGGCTTTTTTAAAATTTCAAAATATATCCTCTCTATAAGAGACACACTTTAGATTCAAAGACCCAAATAGACTGAAAGTAAAGGAATGCAAAAAGAAATGCCATGCAAACCTAAAGAGAGCTGGAATAACTATACTAATACCAGACAAAATAGACATTAAGACAGAAATTGTTACTAGAAAAAAAGAGCACTGTAAGATGAAGACAGGACCAATTTATCACGAATTTATAACAATTATAAATAATTATTCACCTAACAACGGCATTTCAAAAATATATGAAGCAAAAACTCAGAATTGAAAAGAGAAACAGACAATTGAGCAATAGTACTTGCAGACTCCAATACTCCAATTTTAATCATAAATAAAGGAACTTGATAGTAATAAAGAAATATGAGACTTGAAGAACAATAAAACAAACTAGGCCTAATAGACATATGCAGACATGCCTAATTTTTTGCAGTTAGCTTAATTGTGGTTCTCAGATATTGCATCTGTTTCAAATTGAAGGTTCGTGGCAATACTGCATGGAGCAAATCTATTAGCACTATTTTTCCAACAACATGTGCTCTTTTCATGTCTCTGTTGCATTTTGGTAATTCTCACACTATTTCAAACTTTTAAAATTATTATTGTTATGTCTGTTACAGTGATCTGTGACCAGATATCTTTGATGTTACTGTAGCATTTGTTCTGGGACACGATGAGCTACACCTAGATAAAACAATGAATTTAATCAATAATGTTGGGTGTGTTCTTACCACTCTACCAACTGGTCATTCCACCATGTCTTTCCTTTCCTTGGCCCTCTCTCTTTCCTGAGACACAACAAAATAGAAAGTATGTCAATGAACAACCTTATAATGGCCTCTAGGTATTCAAGGATAAGGAAAAGTGGTACCTCTCTCACTTTAAATCAAAAGCTGGAGGCCGGGCACAGTGGCTCATGCCTGTAATCCCAACGCTTTAGGAGGCCGAGGCAGGTGGATCACTTGAGGTCAGGAGTTTGAGACGAACCTGACTAACATGGTAAAACCCTGTCTCTACTAAATACAAAAAATTAGCCGGGTATGGTGGTACATGCCTGTAATCTCAGCTACTGAGGAGGCTGAGGCAGGAGAATTGCTTGAACCCAGGAGGTGGAGGTTGCAGTGAGCTGAGATTGCTCCATTGCACTCCAATGTGGGCAACAAGAGTGAAAGTCCATCTCAAAAAAAAAAAAAAAAAAAGAAAAGAAAAGAAAAAATGAGAAATAATTAAGCTGGCTGGGAAAGGCATATAAAAAGCCCAGGCAGGCTGAAAACTAGGCTTCTTGTGCCAAAGAGGCCAAGTTGTGAATGCAAAGAGAAAGTTTTTAAAGGAAATTAAAGGTGCTCCTCCAGTGAACACACAAATAATAAGAAAGTGAAACAGCTTTAATGATGATACAAAGAAAGTTTTAGAGGTCTGGATAGAAGATCAAACTTCCTACAACGTCCTCTTAAGCCAAGGGCTAATTTAGAGTAACCACTCACAGAGTTTGGTTCATGAGGTTTATGGAATGAAGTTGTCTCCATAACATAAAAGTGCAAGGTGAAGCAGCAAGTGCTTACTTAGAAGCTACAACAAGTTATCCAAAAGATATAGCTAAGATCATTGATGAAAGTGGCTACACTAAATAACAGATTTTCAATGTAGATGAAACAGCCTTTTATTGAAAGAGATGTAATCCAAGACTTGCACAGCTAGAGAGGAAAAGCCAATGCCTAGCTTCAAAGCTTCAAAGACAGGTTGACTGTCTTGTTAGGGGCTAATGCAGCTGGTGCCTTTCAGTTGAAGCCAACGCTCATTTACCATTCTGAAAATCCTAGGGCCCTCAAGAATTATGCTAAATCTACTCTTCCTGTGCTCTATAAATAAAACAACAGAGACTGGATGACAGTAAGTTTGCTGACAGTGTGGTTTACTGAATATTTTAAGTCCACTGTTGAGACCTACTGCTGAGAAAAAAAAAGACTCCTTTCAAAATATTACTGCTCATTGACCTTGTTACCAAAGAACTCTGATGGAAATGTACAAGGAAATTATTGCTGTTTTTAATGCCTGCTAACACAATATTCATTCTGCTGTCAGCCAGGGTGTAAATTTAACTTTCAAGTCTTATTATTTAAGAAATACATTTCATGAGGCTACAGCTGCCATAGATAGTGATTCCTCTGATGAACCTGAGATAAATAAATTAAAAATCTTCTGGAAAGGATTCACCAGTCCAGATACCATTCAGAGAATCCATGATTAATGGGAGGAGGTCAAAATATAAACATTAACAGGAGTTTGGAAAAAGTTGATTCCAGCTCTCATGGATGACTTTGAAAGGCTCAAGATTTCAGTGGAGGAAGCAACTGCAGATGTAGTAAAAAGAGCAAGAGAACTAGAATTACAAGTGGAGCCTGAATTGCTGCACTCTTACAATAAAACTTGAATGGACGAGAAGTTTCTTCTTATGAATGAGCAAAGAAAGTGGTTTTTTGGAATGGAATCTACTCCTGGTGAAGATGCAGCAAACAATGTTGAAATGACAACAAAGGATTTAGCGTATTACATAAACTTAATTGATAAATGGTATCAGGGTTTGAGAGAAGTGACTCCAATATTGGAAGACTTTATACTGTAGGTCAATGTTGTCAAACAGCATCACATGGTAGAGAAATTTTTTGTGAAATGAAGAGTTGATGATGTGGCAAATTTTGTCGTATTTTAAGAGATTGCCAAACCCATCCCAGCCTTCAGCAAGCACCACTCTGATCAGTCAACAGCCATCAAAATTGGAACAAGACCCTTCACCAGCAAAAAGATTATGAATAGCTGAAGGCTCAGATGATCATTAGCATTTTTTTCCAATGCAATATTTTTAAATTATGGTGCACACATTATATTTTAGACATAATGCTATTGCACATTTAGTAGACTATAGTCTAGTATAAACATAACTTTTATACGCATTAGGAAACTAAAAAAATTCATGTGGCTTGCTTATTGAAATATTTCACTTTGTTGTGGTGGTCTGGAATCAAAGCAGCAATATCTTTTAGATAAGTCTATATACGACACTCCACTAAGAAGAAAAGAATACATATTCTTGTCAAGTGCACATAAATCCCCCACACAAGCAGAAGGATGATATAATAAGAAATAGAGTGGAAATTAATGAAATAGAAGATAGAAACAAAATACAAAATTAATGAAACAACTTATTCTTTGAAAAGATCAACAAAATTGATAAAGCTTTATCTATTCTGATGAAGATGAAGAGAGTACTCAACTTATTAAAATAATGAATAAAAAAGGAACCTTAATACAAGATGATAGACAGATAGATAGATAGATAGATAGATAATAGGCAGACAGAAAAAATTTAGGGGAATACTATGAACGATTTGTGATAACAAATTAGATAATCTTGATTAAACAAACAGATTCCTAGGAAGACAAAAACTATTGAATCTGACTTAAGAAGAAATTGAAAATTTGAGTAGACCTATAACAAGTAAAGAAGTTGAATTGTCAGTCAAAAAATTTCCCACAACACAAAGTCCAGAAGTAGACAGCTTCTCTCTTTTAGTCTACCAAATATTTAAAGACGTATTAGCACAAGTTCTTCATAAACTCTTGAAAAATAAATAAAGGAGGGAATAATTCTTAACTCATTTATGAAGTTAGTATCATCCTGATTCATCACAAGAAAATAAAACTACATACCAACACCCCTTATGAATGTAGATGCAAAAATCCTCAACAAAGTATTAGCAAATCAAATTCAGTAACATGTAAAAAGGATTGTATACTATGTTCAAGTGAATTAATCTCAGGAATGGAAGATTGGTTTTATATCCAAAAATCAGTCAATGTAATGCATTGTATTAACAGAATAAAAGATGAGAACCACATGGTTATCTCAATAAATGCAGGAAAAACATTGAAAAAATTCAAAACCTTTTCATGATAAAAACAAAAAACGCTCAACAAACTAGCAATGGAAGATAAATTTTTCATCCTGATAATGGGCATCTAGGAAAAAACCACAGCTGATATCATACGTCATAGTGAAAGACTTAAAGCCTCCCTCTGAAAATCAGGAATAAGACAAGAATGTCTGCTCTAACTTAATGTCTAATCAACATTGTACTGGATAGCCTAGTCAGAACAATTAGGCAAGAAAATATAATAAAAGGCACCTAAATTAGTAAGGAGGAAGTAAAACTATTGCTATGTGTAGATCATCTGATTTTGCATATAAAAATCATAAATAATCCAAAAAATGAAACAAAACTAAACAACATAAAAGTTAGAGCAAATAAACTAGTTTAACATAGTTTATAAACTTGCAGGATATAAAATTAATATACAAAATCGGTTTTCTTTCTATACCACTTGCAATGAAAAATTTGAAAGAATATTAAGAAAATTTCATTTACAAAATCATTAAACAATAAAATATTTAGAAATAAATTTTACACTAGAAATATAAGATTAATACACTGAAAACTACAGAATCATTGAAAGCAATTAGAGAAGACACCCAGTCCTGATGAGTTGAAATAATTAATATTGTTTAAATGACAAACTAATGGACAGATTCAATGCAATCTCTATCTAAATAGAAGCTCCCTTTTTCACCCAGAAAGTGACAAACTAATCTTAAAATTCACTTGGAAATTCTAGGGATATAGAAAAGCCAAAACAATCCTGAGAAAGAACAAATTTGGAGGACTCACACTCCTTGATTTCAAAATTTACCACAAAGCTGTATTAATCATGACTGTCTGTCATTTAGCATAAGGATAGACATGAATCAATGGAATACAATTAAGAGACCAGAAATATATCCAAAATTTACAGCAGTTGGTTTTCCACAAGATGCCAAGACTATTCAATGAGGCCAGAATAGTCTTTTCAACAAATGGTGTTAGGAAAACTTGATTAACCACATGCCAAAAGATGAAGTGGATGATAGACATTGTACCATATACAAAAGGGAACTCAAAATGGATCAAGGATCTAAACATAAGAGATAAAGCTATTAAACTATATAAGAAAACATATGTGTAAATCTTTGTTACCTTAAATTAGGCAATGGTTTATTTGATATGGCAACTAAAGAACAAACAACAAAGAAAAAGCAGATAAATCGCACTTCATTACAATGTAATGCATATAATAATATAAGGTCCAGCAGCACAGTGGACCTTAAATTGATGTTGCTCTCTTCTACACATGGAGTTTCTACGGCTTTACTAGACATGCCCACATGTGTTTTAAAGGACACTATGAAGAAAGTAACAAACAAACAAACAAAAAACCCATTGCTGAATGGCAGAAAAATATTTAAAAAACATAGAGCTGATAAAAGTGTAGGAAAAAGTACAGTATTCAGAACTCTTACAACACAACAATAAAAAAACAAACCACCCATTTATAAAATTGGCAGGGAATTTCAATAGACATTTCTCCTAAAGAATCCCTTACATATATGGGGGTTATACAAGTGGCCAACAAGAACATGAAAAGATGCTCAATGGTCACTAGGGAAATTCAAATCATAACTACAATGAGATATCATTTCATACACACCAGGATGACTGTAAGTTTTAAAAAGGCAATAATAAGTGTTGGCAAGGATTTGAAGACATTGGAACCCTCATATATTGTTGGTAGCAAGGTTAAATTGTGCACCTGCTTTGGAAAACAGTTTGGCAGCTCCACAGAACGTTAAACATGGAATTAACTTGTGATCTAGTGGTTCCGGTCATAGGTATACATCCAAGATAAATGAAAACACATACGCACACAAAAACTTTTACATAGATTTAGATTTTTTTTTTTTTTTTGAGACGGAGTCTCGTTCTGTCACCCAGGCTGGAGTGCAGTGGCACCATCTCGGCTCACTGAAACCTCTGCCTCCCGGGTTCAAGCAATTGTCCTGCCTCAGCCTCCCAAGTAGCTGGGGCTACAGGCACGTGCCACCACACCCAGCTGATATTTTGTATTTTTAGTAGAGATGGGGTTTCACCGTGTTAGCCAGGATGGTCTCGATCTCCTGGCCTCGTGATCCACCTGCCTCGGCCTCCCAAAGTGCTGGGATTACAGGCATGAGCCACTGCACCAGGCCTTACATAGATGTTTACAGTGGCATTGTTAATAATGGCTGAAAAATAGAGAAAATCAAAATACCAATCAAATTATGAATACACAAAATATGGAATATTCATATAATGCAATATTGTTCAGTCATAAAAAGGAATGGAATACTGATAAATATTGCATTGTAGATGAACCTTGAAAACTTGATACTAAGTGAGAAAAAGCCAGGCTTAAAAGAGTATATATTTAAAAATTCCATTTATATGAAATGACCAGAAAAGGCAAATTCACAGAGATAGAATGCAGGTTAATAGTTTCCAGGGACTGGGGTAAGGGAAGAATGGGGAGTGATTCCTAATGGGTATAGTGTTTCTTATTGCTTGTTGGAAATATTCTAGAAATACATAGTATCGATGGTTATCCAATTATATGTATGTAGAAAAAATTGTTGAATAGTTATGGAATTGAAGTGTCTTCCGAAGAAAAAGGAATATTATAAGGCCAAACATCCTTACCTGAATGTAGATTGTTTTTAAAAATATGAATAATATTGTTTGTTAAATACCTGTTACATATAGACACTTTATATATGTATTATCTCATTCATACCTGAAAAATTCCCCTGGGAGCTTTTGTAAAGTAGAAAATCTCAGGTCCTGCCCTACTCCAATAAATCAGAATCTTCAATTCAACAACCTGCTCACCACCTCATATAATTCGCCTGCATTTTACATTTGAGAAACAATGGTGAGGCTACCAGGAAGGAATCCTACAAATATGGTAAACATAGAAAACCTGATATCTACTTTATTTTTATTTTTTAGCAGAGGTGGTACCAACTACATACGTTCCCACTAGGACTAAATTATGCAACTTTCCTGTAACATAACTTTTCCCACCTCTCCCATTTGTAAGGATAACTTCCTTTTAGTCAATATGGGCAAAAAGGTTTGTGTCATGTTTATGGAGGGCTCAGCAGCACACTAGACCTTAAGCTGACGCTGCTGTCTTCTGTGCATGGAGCCCTGTGGCTCTACTTGACATGCTCACAAGCAAGAAGAATGTTACCTCCAAAATATCCTCTCCAGGCTGTAAGCGTAGGTCTCTTTACAGATGGTTTGAAGGTAATGGAAGAAAATACATCACAGCACTTAATAAAGGCAGATAACTTTGAAACAAACTTTTAGATATATCTGTTCTTGAAAGTCTGTAAGCCATCGCCTCTACAGGGCATTTCTCTCTCCCGATTTCTCTGCAGTTCCCGCTTGTCATGTTGTTCCACCCACTCTAAGTGGGAGCTCTCTTCCACTCTTACTGGGTTGCTCGTGGAAAATCCACACTCTTCTTGCTTCATTATTTAGGGCAAGTCTATTCTTTTCCTTTTCTCAGTTTTCTTAGCCACTTATCCACAACCTAGTGACCCATCCACATGTTTTCATATTTTAAAAAAATGCACTATTGCAGGAGAAAACTCTTTGGGTCTCTTTAAGAGTTAGAAGCGGCTGTATTTGGTTGTGATTTTAAACAAATTCTTTCCCACCTTCCCCTTAATGGATTTATCACACTGGCACATAGGTACTCTATATTTGTGAACCTGAAACTGAAAGCTAATGTGACTGAAGAGTTCCAGAAGGCAGGAGCTTAACGAGAAGTCGGATAGCAGTTAAGCTAAGCAGACCGAGAGACAGGGCTTTAGGCACAGGGTGTGAACAGAGCAGTGAAGCTGAACTGCTTCCTGGCACAGAAACAGGCTAAGCATAGGCTTAAAAAAAAAAAAAAGAAAGAAAGAAAAAAACCACCACTATTGCTGTAGACATATATGGATTCTTTTTTGTCTTTCCTTCCCCTTTTTTTCCCCCTGAGCATTTTTCTTATTAATTTATTTTTAAACAAGTAATTTGACAAACAGTGGTTAATCATGAATCACAGTCCCATAGGTCTATAATAAAAGCAAGTCCCAATTTCTTCATAGCATATTCTTATATGAAACTTTTAAAAAAGTATTTCTTACACTAGATTCCCAAGAATGGAAAATATTGTTCCATTCACCACATTGTTATATGAACAGTGGACATTTTCTTTTTTTTCTTTCCTTCCTTTATTTCTTTCTCTCTCATTCTCTCTTTTTGTTTTTACAAATGCAATAGATAAAAAGTAGCATTTCTTTTCATTTGAGTTTCTCTGATAATTTTGACCTAATCACCTTTCTATCTATATGTTTACTAATTATATTTCCTCTTTTGTCAATTGATTGTACCTATCTTATTTGTATTTCTTTCCATTTTCCATATTAATGATGAAAAGCATTGCAAAAGTATAGCTTAATTTCAAATATATTTATAATTTTTCTACTTAATAAACATTTAGAATTTTAGTAAATCAAAATTATTAGTAAATATTTAGAATTTTGTTCTTAAATAGATATTAGGTAATCATGGCAGACACTGCTGGTTCTCTGTCGGAATTCCCTGGAAACTCTCTTAGCATTTCTGTGGGATCTTCCCCTGGTTTCTGTGTGCTTTCTTTGTCATTCATTGCCACTCCTCCTTGGAAACCACCCTCAGTCAGTCAGAGCCTTCTTGGCTGGACATGCAGAAAACCTGAATTATCCAGGAGTTTACATTCCTACCAGAGGCGCCCTTATACTTAACTGACCAGAGTGAAACCATGAAAGCTCAGCTCCCCTTGTTTAGGGTTGGAACAAATTCTAGACCAGTGTCACACTCCCATTTCCCCTACCAGTTTGACTAAATCCTTTTTCTCTGTGTGATACAGCCTTGCTAGGATCTTCCCTTTTTTCTCTCAGCTTCTTTCTCTCCCTAACTAGTTGTCTGTTGGTGTGCACTCAGATCTTCTAGGTTATCTGACCTATGATAGTAATGGTTTAGTGTGAAGAAACAGGAAAAAGAATGTGTTAGAAAAAGGAACATTGTGGAAAAAGGGAAGAATTAAAGCTTCAAAGAACTTTTACATTTTGAAGATATGAAAGCTAACGTGGACTGAGAGAGCACATGAGGATTTTTTTTAATTATTATACTTTAAGTTCTAGGGTACCTGTGCACAACCTGCAGGTTTGTTACATATGTATACATGTGCTGTGTTGGTTTGCTGCACCCATTAATTCATCATTTGCATTAGGTATTTCTCCTAATGCTATCCCTTCTCCATTCCCCCACCCCATGACAGGCCCCGGTGTATGATGTTCCCCGAGCAAACTATCGCAAGGACAGAAAACCAAACACCGCATGTTCTCACTCATAGGTGGGAATTGAACAATGAGAACACATGGACACAGGGCACATGAGGATTTTCTCAAAGATCATACAACCTGGACTAGTACTAATATATTTATTTGCCACTTGCAGGGAATCAGCTTAACAGATGATTCTGGAGCCATACGGCTTTGATGGAAGACCCTGGCTCCACTACCTGCAGCTTCATGATGATTTATTAAAATCTCTCTGTTTCAACCACCTTGACTGTAGGGTGGTTGAAATAATTATAATTTTTATTTTATATGGTTAATGTCAATATTAATGAAATAATAATACTAAGGGATTCAAAGAGTTACTGACATGTTGTAATCATTACTGGAGAAAAGCTACCTAATTTAATATTCTTTATAGCATATGAAATGGAGCTAATTAGTTGATACTGTTTTTGCTATTTTGATGTCACAAACAATTCCATTCCCTGGTTTTTGAAATTTGCATTTTTTAAAGTATGTATTATAACTTCCTTTCATTTTCAGAAAAACTTTATATTTCCAAAAAGGAAGTTGATGGTTTAATTAGAATTATCTGCATATTATGCAACCCGGTGTAGTTATCTTTTCCCCACTTCTCAGCTATGAACAATGAAAAGATATAAAGAGCATTAAGGACCAAAATATAGAAGGTGAGTGATGCCTTCCATGAGAGATCATAAGACAGACTTACAGATTTAGGTGGAACATAGATAACGCTAAGTGCAGTTCAGATAGGCCACCAGAGCCCAAGGAGTGGACGAGGTGGTTCTGAGAGAATTTATTACAAGGTCTGTGAGTTCCTCTTGGAAAATGAAAGAAAAGGTAGAATGATCTGACAACCAGATAATTATTGTATGAGAGATGAGGGACACAATTGGCTTTCTACATTTGTGAAGATATCTATGAAGCCAAACTTGATCAATTCATAATGAGATTCAACGGATGCAACCCATATGCAAATTGAATATCTGACCATACAGCATCAATTACAAAAAATAAAAATAAAAAAGCATCGTTATAGGAACTAGGGAGTGGAAATAAGTACATTTTTCTCAGATACCCTGTAAAGCCAAATTGAGGTTGCTTTAACATTCAAAATCTGATTAAAACTCCCAATAATAAGCCTGTTAAGAGTACCTGATTGCCAGATCCCCATTGTGTGAAACTGCAGCAACTAAATGCTAAGAATAAATTTTAACTCAGCCAGAAACAACACCAAAATGCCGTTTTAAATGCTCAAGAAAGCCTAGTTCAAATAAATTCCCAAGTAACAAATGTGCAGGGAATTACAAGCTGTGTTGCATCATATAATTTTCCCTGTTTCTTCCCTGTCCTTCTCCCTGTTGTTTTTTTGTTTGTTTGTTTTGTTTTCATGTTAAAGATTTGGCTCATAAAGAAGACTTAAAGATGGAACAAAATTTTACCAGAAGGCTTTACTACCAAATAAAAAAATGCCATTGAAGATTTTCATGTTAGCTGAAAAAAAGGTCTTTCTCACAAATACACAATTACAATGCTGCCACATTTTAAGGGAAAAATGCTTTCCTGCCTTCCTATTAATTAAAAATCACATAATTTAACAATAAATGAGGTAAAGATCATAGGTAGATTTCTTTAGCAACTAAAATGGCCCTGCCATGTTGCAGTGGGATAAATACAACTTACAGTTCACTCAATTTTTCAGGTTTGTAATTATGCAATTCTTAGTGAATTGTTAATTTTATTAGATTCACATTACTTCACATTTTGTGCATAAATTAAGATTGTATTACCATTTTATATAGTATTATTTCAAATGTGCATAAAGTGTATTCATGCTTTGTTAGGTAAATGTAGTAAGCATTAACCACAGAAGGCAACTCTTAGGGAGGGAGTCAAGGTCTTCTCCCTGTCTTTGCTTCCTCTTCTCCTGCAACATCAGAGAAGATTTTTATAGTTCAAGGACAAATTGGGTTCCAAGGACAATAAGCTGGATATCAAGGATAAGGGGAAGAAAGACATTAAGTATGACTACTAGAATTCTGATTTGATGTACTGAATATATGATGGTGCCATCTCTGAGAATACAGGTGCTGGATGGTGATGAGTTTATGAATTTGGTTTGGAGAATATTGAGTGGGAAAGGCCCATTGGATACGCATGTTTGTGGCTCACAGAAAAGACAAATGCCTATATAAACAAAAAGTGCCAAATTAACGTTTTGCTTATGTTTATTTACATTTGGTATTATTGTTACCCTTTAAAATAGGTCCGTTGAAAGATAAAGGAATAAAAACTCTAAATATGCCTACTTTATCTCTACAAATGTCCAAGTTCCAGGTGAAAATTTCAATGTAAATCAAATATGACTTAACATGATACAAAACAAACAGACTTCAATGGGACACAACTTGCCTTCAAATTCTTAGGGATTTAGAGGTCTCAGGAGACAGACTATTTCCTAAGTGAAGATTATGTATGATATATGCAATTCATCCACAAGCATTGTATTCATGTAGCACTATAGAAAAATCTGAGGTATAAAGCAAATTCTTATTAAATATACCCTTGAGCCATATGGAAAACAAAAAGAAATCAAAGATTTTCCTCTGATCAAAAATGTGATTTTTATAGTTTAAATTGGATTCTGCCTATGGAAGATTTGAAGACTGCATTATACTTTGTAGTCATATGTTTTTGAAAACTGAAATTGTAGTTAAATTATTTTATTTCTTTTTTTGGAGACAGAGTCTCACTCTGTCACCCAGACTGGAGTGCAGTGGCACCATCTTGGCTCACTGCATCCTCCGCCTCCCAGGTTCAAGCAATTATCCTGTCTCGGCCTCCTGAGTAGCGGGACTACAGGTGCATGCCATTACGGCTGGCTATAAATTATTTTATTTCTAAACATTACTTTACCAAAAGAGTAAGTTACACTGTGTCAAAAATTTTCAACTTTTATATAACGGCCATTATGACGTTTAATGTTTTCCTGGAGGATACCTATTTAAATCAGTTACATCCTAGCTTAATCTTCTGTGTGTGTGTGCATGTGTGTGTGTGTTTTGTTTACAATCCACACTAAAATCAAACCACTTCATTTCTCATTGATGTGTGATGGCTGTTCAGCCCATCTTACCTCTGATTCCTTTTCTAACACTAACTGTTTTCTCTGCCAAGTGATTTAGAAGCATAAACCTAGAAATCTAGACTCAGATTATGACCATTTGCAAGCCTAGTAACTTTGATAGTGGGACCCAGTGCACTAAATCAAAGCACAGAAGTGCAAGTTTTTGCCTGACTGGACAGAGAGTTTATAAATGCTACATAATCACAGTGCCAAAAGACAAAGATAAATGATTCAGTGTAAGCCAAATGTTATGTTTTGGTTTGTCTTGAATATAAATGCATGTCTGGGAGAGCCAGAATGGTCTGTTGGAAATAACTTCAAACAAAGACGTGAGCTTGAATCCCAGCTCTGTGTCACATTAAGTGTGAAGTTGTGGATAAAGCAATAGCGTGTCTGTAAATTTAAGATTCTCATCTGTACAAGAGAATAATAATGCTTTTTCCATATGATCGTTGAGAAGAGCAACTATCATAATGCCTGTAGATAGCACATATGCCCTTTGGCATGTAGTATGAAGATAACATGTCATTAAAATAATAGTTTCAGAAAAGAAAATATTTGACAATTATAGGTAAGTTAACCTTTAGGCAGGGGCAGAAATAAAGTCACAATAACCATTACAAAGTGAGCCCCTACTAATTCTCATGGAACTGTAGGTCACAGCTCCTTTTAAATTCTTCCACAGATACGTGTCACATCCATTTAGACATGTGTCATCTTCAATAAAATGGGCTTGCAGAGCCAGGCATTGAAACCCTGTCTCTTTCAGATGAAGGCCCAGAAGACATCAAAGTGGCTCCCTCTATAGGGCAACTCAATTCTGTGAGGATTCTTGACATTCATCCATGGAGCATTTGTATGGAAAGAATAAAGGAGCTGTACACCTCGAAGTTCTTAGTCTGGCTCCTTCCCCCCAAAATGGTCCATTGTCTTTGGATGAAATTTGTGTATCTTGACTCTCATCCTTTCAGTTCACTGTAGGGCACTCAGTCCCTTTTGTAAATGGACAGCAGCCAGTCTTTGCTTCAATGTCCTGGCATATATATATGTGTGTGTGTGTGTGTGTGTGTGTATATATATATATAAAATGGTTAATTATAACATCACTTTAATGACTTGATTATAAGGACTTTTCTATGAATTCTCCCTGCAACATAAGCATTTTCTCTCCTGAGGCATTAACAGCCATTCTTTATGAGATGTAACCAATATTTCTACACTTTGCTTTTTGCAGTGAGAGAGGAAGGCTGAGTTGTGATTTGTTGGGTCTACAGTCTAAGAATAACTATTTTTTAGTTTCCTCTCTTCCTGCTATATACATCAACAGTAAATTTCTCTAGAATTTGGTACTATATTTTTCCCTGGAATTCATTATACTTTCTTCTTTTCCTTGACTATTAATAATGTTCAGGTAAATCTTGTATTCAGTTGTAGACAAGATTCCCATAGTCTTTGTTTCTGATTTTTACCCCCACTGTATTGTATATGCTGACTTAAGCCATTGAACCAAACAATCCCACAATGTACAACAAGCTGGAGTTAGAAACAAGCAAGCCAGAGCTCCATGGAATCTCAGCTCACTGCAACCTCCACTTCCCTGGTTCAAGCGACTCTCCTGCCTCAGCCTCCAGAGTTGCTGGGATTACAGGTGCCCACCAATACGCCTGGCTAATTTTTGTATTTTTCATAGAGACAGGGTTTCACCACGTTGGCCAGGCTAGTCTCGAACTCCTGACCTCAGGTGATCCACCTGCCTTGGCCTCCCAAAGTGCTAGGATTACAGGCATGAGCCATCACACCAGGCCTTGTGTTTGCTTCTATTCAAATCTATTCATCTTGGACCTTTAATTTTCTTTTCTTATATACTCAATCCCACTTTTGTAATTGGAGTTGTTCCTTGCTAATTTTTTTTTCTGGCTTGACTTTGCTTCACTCATGGGATTCTTTTTAAGTATCTCTGCTCCCCCATTCTTTATTTTTTCCCCACATTCATTCAATAGCATTTATTCAACAATTATCTTGCTTTTCCTTTTGCCAATCTTGATGCTTGGCAACACAATGGAAATACAATAAAGAAGACAGGCACATTCTCATACTCTAGAGGATCATACTGATATTAATCCAATAGTCACACATATCAATGTAGATTTCTATAAAGACTTCTATAAAATAAAGAGAAATAATCCTAGGAGAATATTTAAGAGGTAAGCCTGACTTTGTCTGGGGGTATAAGAAAGTCTCTTCTAAGAAAGTAACTTTTAGGCTGAGATGGCAGACATTATCAATGTAAAGGGGGAGAAAGCATCCCAGGTGGATTATCCTGCCTTCTTCTACTTAGCTCTTTAAACAACCTCACTTGGCAGAGTGTCAGCTCCCTGGTATTTAAATCCCCATCTTTCCTAGCTGGGCATGCTAGGACATTATCGAATTCTTGCTTCTTTACCCTTGTTTAGTAGTCTTATTTACCCCCTTTGTTTATTGTATCTTGTCCTATTTTAATTTTTAGAAGTAGGCAGGGAATCAATAATGAAACACTTACTTTATATTTCAAATACTTGAGCCACAAACACCCATCCAATTCCAATATAACTGCCTCAAACTCTACCAATCAACATGTAAACACAGAGAGATCACTAACTTAGAGGATGAAAAGGTAAGAGAATGGAATGTTCATAATAACACTTGCTCCTCCCCGCTGAGTTCAAACGGCTGCTATTCTTTTGAATAAAACAACTTGCAGTCAAGTCTTTCCCTTCAGGCTAGGAGGGGGGAAAACATAGTATTTCTTATAACAAAATCTCATGACAAGGAAGCAATGAAAAGCCCACAGAATTTATTATCCTTTGGTAATGCATGTTTATATAGTTTATACATGAAACTAAACATTACTAATTGGGAGTAATTGAGGAAAACTCCATTTCACTTGAATTTCAAAACTTTTAAATAATGGAAGAATTCCAAAGAAATTCAATTTTACTATTTCAGATACTTTCAGTAACACAAACTACTGCTAAATCTCTGCCAAACTGATTTCCTGCCAGATTTAATAACTAAAGCATTCCCTTCCCTTATATTTGAATGTTTCTTTAAAATGTCCAGGGAGATAAGACAGTATGTTTTCCTCAAAAGGCTTGTAGTCTGGAAAGCAAATAGGCAAACAGGACGCAAGCACACGAACGGGTACAAAAGCCTGAGAAAGAAAGCTGCTGCCAGTGAGGAGCAGAGGCCGTTCTGTGGTGAGTCCAGAAAGAGACCTAAACTGCCTGGAGCCTTGAGCTTGTGGCGTGAGGCACAGTGCTTGCACATGAAGGCTTCATATCAGCCACAACTTCGTGATGAGAGAACACCGTGGGAAGTTTTAGGAGAGAGTCAGGAAGAGCCTCAGAACCTTCTAAGATTCAAAAATGCTAATTTTACAGATGAGAAAAGTTTGGGGATGAGCCTTAGAAATGAAGAAGAGTAAACAGGGGGGAAGAAAAAATTTCAAGTAGATAAAAGAACTGGAGCATAAATCAATAAACAAAACAAATGATGGGAATTATTCGATCTTTGAAGGAACAGGTCTTATTGGACAGATGTATTTGAAACACCTGTTATATTTAAACACCTTGACTTTGAGGGCTTCCTGTGCCTTTTTTTCATCTTTGTAATCTAACATGAACTATTGCAGTGAACTGAATGAGATAAGCCACCATTAACTGTATGTTAAATTGGATTGATTGAAAAGGTGTGTTGAGGTCACAGTGGAAAATTCTGATACCTGCCTTAGATTTGCAGCATTGCCAGACCATTGGGCTCTGTTTTCACTGTGGCATCAGCTACCATCATGTTCTGCAAATGGTTCATATTGACTGTGCCTAGACTGGTACAACCTGGCCTTTGAGGATGGCAACTAATAATATTCATTTATTCAGAAATAGTAATTGGACATCCACCATGTGGGCTTTTAACTAGTTGCTAGGATGAAACCAGTCAAAATAATAATTAAAATAATTCCAATATTTAACTTGTATCTGTCAGAAAATCTTAATTATATTAAAATAAACTCAACAACACTCCTCTCTTTTCCTTCCTTCACAACCTCCTCTCACCTCAGGCTAATGAGAGCCCCTCACTCAAAGCTCTGCTCATCCCTGCAGCCCATCCTTCACTGCATCATCGCTGCTCTTTATCCCTACTTCTCCCGACCCTCTCAGCTTTGTACTACATAGATCAATTTAGTTTTCTTATCTTTCACTTTTTTCCCTTTTCTCAAGCCCCACCTTCCTCTGCTCAGTTTTAAAGATATCTCAAAATTCTAAATTCCATTTTTGCAGGAAGCTATAGACCTTAGAGAGTGGGGAAGGCAAAATCAAGCTAGCAAAAAAAACAAAAACAAAAAGCATTGTCTTGAGAGACTGGGAAGAGTGTGGAGAGGCCAGAGCATTATAATTCCCTCTCTCCCTCCTTCCCTTCCTTCTTTCTATCTGTATACGTTTTACCATATCATAATCTTCTCCCGGTCAGTCTTTGCTCTGTCTCTCTCTCTCTCTCTCTCTCTCTCACACACACACACACACACACACACACAAACACACACAAACACACACACACACTCCAAAATACAATGTGGCTCCCAGAAGTTACAATTATTTCTAATGATAGCACACCTCCTTAGAGGAATATAAATATTCTTAGGTGCCTTTGAAAATATTACCAGATGTAGCCTGTTTATGATCTTCTAAATATCTTTTCTCACAACTGGAAATTGGTGGATGAATGACTCTCTGCAGAAGAAACACACCATCAGCAACCCCACTAAGAATCTCTGTGCATTCACTTGCTAAAGGGTATGTGCTTACCAGATGACAACCCTCCCAGTTTCCAGCTGCCACTAGATGTCTCTCCTAGCCAATATTGAAACCCAACCACACTTCCCATCCTTCCTGGGGTCTCTGATGTGTAAATAGATAGATACTCTGGGGTGCCTGCCCAGCCCCACCACAGTGTTAGCAAATTAGAGGGGCCTATTTCCAACCTGGGAATGATCCTGTCTCTGGACATCTGTGTGTCTCTGATGGAGATTAAGGAACCAGTTTACTCACAGTGAATCAGTCATGGCTTCTTGGTGGCTTTTCAGAAACACATTTTAGCTGTCTTATCCCAGCCATCCTATCTCCTCACAGGGCTTCCGGTCTGAACTTCATTAGTCATCCCTACTTTCAAGTCACCATATCTTTCTTTGTCCGCTGTCTGGCTTGTTTTCATCAATGGGAAAACTGAGGGGCTCTGCAGAGTAATAATGTAATCCAAGGTAGTTAATTGAATGCTGTAATAGACACCTGACGGTGACCCCCAATGAGTCACAGCATTGTATAATCCTCCTGCTTTGTATGCTGTGGAAACTGTGACTTACTTCTAATAATATACTATGGCAAAAGAGATAGGATATCATTTCCATAATTATATTATTTGGTAAAGATGAAAGGATTTTTCAAGGTAATTCAAATTCCTAATCCACTGATTTTGAGGTAATTAAAAGGGAGATTATCCTGGGTGGGCCTGACTTAATCAGATGAGCTCTTTTAAAGAGGATCCAGACCTTCCATGAAGTTAAAGGTTCTAAGGAACATAAACTCTCATTCTCATTCTCTCTCCTTTTCTCTCTCCTTACCTCCCTTCCTCTCACCATTCCTCTGAAATCTGCCAACAACCTAAGCAAGCTTAGATGTGGATCCTTCCATGGTGAAACCTCCAAATGGGAACATACTCTGGCCAACACCTTGACCTGAACCTTGTAAATTTCTGAGCTCAGGAAAGTTAATCTGTGCACAGACTCATGATCCACAGAAATTGTGAGATAAGAAATGAGGGCTGTTATAAGCCACTACATTTGTGGTAATTCATTATGTAAAAAAAGTTAATTATTGATATTAAATGCACCCAAATCTATTCAATTAACTGCTTATGAGTAACCAGGAGTCTTTCTTCTGCACACCATTGCATCTTTATGTGCTCCCAGTATTTTTCTAGTCTTAAGTACAAAAATCAAGCATGCTTACCCTCATTGCTATGATACAGATTTATTTTTTAATTTTGGTGTAAGAACCCCATCAGTATCATACATTCATTTCAGTATTCTTCAAAGAAATATCGGCTATATGGTCCCTTAAATGTTTTGTACATAATCAATGACATTTCTTTATCTCTAACCCTCTTTATCATTGTCTTATGGATTAGACAACTTTTTGGGGTTTTTGGAAGTAACTTAATACCTGCAATAAAACTATTGTTTTTTTTTCATAACTTTGTATGTAGGCTATCTCAGTCATTCTCCAGGTTTTAAGTGGGGCTCAGCTGTTCTTCTTCTGGGACCACCTACTTGGCTGTGCTCATCTCAGCAGGGCTGCAGGAGATCCAGAAGACATATGGATGTCCCTCAACATCTCCACTCAGAGCTGACACAAGGTAACTGTTGTCCACATTCCATTTCTCAGAGCAAGTACCCAACCAAATCCAAAGTAAGCAGACAGAAGTTTTCTCCATTCCACAGATGTGGGGGGTGGGGGGGAGGAATACATTTGTTAATAATACAATTTGGTATATTCCTGTGGTATCGGGTTGTGTTTCAACTCTTGGCCTACTTTCTATCATTGAAGTCTTAACTTTAAGTGTACAGGTAACCTGTACCATCATTGTTCCAGAGTCTGTCTGATGGATCATGCAATTTTGATCATGGAAGCAAAAACAAATGTCTTAAACAATTCAGGTAGGACATAACTTCTCTCAATATTCATGTGATATCAATTGGTATCTGTGGCAGTTAGGAGAAAAATAAAACAAAACAAATCACAAGCTCCAAATTGGTATGTCATGATGGATAGGTACTTTGCTGAGTTTTGCTCAAGCTAGAGATCATGCATAGGTTTGTGTTTCTTGTGAAAAATTTGATAATTGACTAGAGTCTTCTTTCAAATGATGAAAATCTTACTAGGATATCATCCTCTTGAAAACTCTTCAGCGTTCCTGTATAATTCCTGATTTGATGGACTCTTCCTCATCAGTTCCATTGTTCCAACAGCTTGGCAGTAAGGATGAAAATACACTTTTGACTCACATTTTTAGTGATGACTTTCATCCTGACTGAGTATGGCTGGGTGCTGGAGCTGAAATGCAAAATCCTGGATGGTAGCCCTCTAACATATTACCCCAAAAAACCAAAAGGATGACTCAACCCCGGAATGATGTTATTTTGAAGAAACACAGTTTGCCAGCCAAATGTATTTTAAGAAACATCCAATTATTTACTTTTGCTTCTCAAAGAACATCAGAGGAATTTCCTATATTAACTTTGGTCACAGAAACTTTTCTGAAACCATCTTCCCGTCTATCTTCTGAACAACCCTCAGATGGTTTTGTTCAATTCACTTCAACCCACGGTATACAAGCCAGCACTACATTCTCATGTCTTATGGCCCCTTCTGTTATGCAGATTTGTCTTCTCTTGCAGGAAATAGCATCCTTGTCCTTCCTGCAAGAATGGAGGGGAAGAAATTGGGAGCAAATCAGGCTACAGGTACATAAGTCTTTTAGCTGATTTGGGGGGCGGGGCAGGAATCTGCAAACACACTTATATTCACAATTTTTAGTCCTCAGCACAGAGTCTTATTAAGGCTTAATTGGCCATTTCTCAAAGTTGCAGAAAGCAAATTTTGGAAGAGTATTTAAAATCATCCAGTTCTATCCTCATTGTTTATCTAAATTGCTCTTCTGCATAACAGATAAGAAAACTGATGCTTAAATACCACCGATGACACAGGACTAGATGTGAAGACATCCGGAGTCAGACTGTTATGTTTTGTCTGCTCTAAAGGAATTTCCAGCATATGTTGAGAGAGCTGATATCTCCATGTAACTTTCACCCAATAATCCTAAAAGTATCCCTTAAGAATGTATTCCCAATTTCTTTTCCATCTGATGGCCCTATAAATAATTGAAGATGACTCATTTATATTATTGGACTATATAAGTATGATTTCAAATGCTCTCATGTAACATGGACTCAAGTGTCTTCATCATCCTGATTGTCTTACACCAGGGCAACATTTATTTGTAACTTTCATTGCTTGCCCTGGCCTCTAGTGATTTGACAACCAAAGTGCAGAACAGGACCCCTTAAGTCTCCTTTCCTGTACACCATGGTCACATTAATTCACTATAAACTTCAATAGTATTTTGGGAGAGGGAATAGCATAGTGTTGTAATAACACCAATTTGGAGTGAAATTACCTGCATTCATAGCCAGACTCAGCCATTTGCTATCCATGTGCGTGGTTTCTTCATCAAAGAATCTAAGTGATGCCAACTTTATGGGGGTTTTGCAAGATTCCAATGAGATTATACAAACAAAAAACATCCATAATGTCTGGTGCGTAACATAAGGGCTCAACTAATGTTAATTCTTCTGATTATTATTGCTACTCTGAAAACTCCCAGTCTTACAACTCATAGTCAACTAAATTTTCCAGCTTCAAAAATTGCATTTAATATTTTAAAACTGTTATTTTCTCTTTATCACGTTACTCATTATTAATTCTACCTATTCAAATGAATCCCCATTGCCAAATTAAATCAAATACTTCTCCTTGTGGTCTCTTGATATCCAAGGAATCTACTTATACCTGGAGATTATCTCTGAATAACAGATGCTAAAACTTGCTTTCTTGAATAAAATAGCATAAAAACAGTAGCAGCAATAGTAGCACAATTTGTTGAGTGTTTTCTATGTACTAGGGGCATTGAGTTAAAACTTACACAGACACGTAAACACTCTTCAAACACACCACAGACAGATGCACATCACACTTTCCTGTTCTTGGGTTTTCCATCAATAGTTTAAAAATAACGATTATGACAGTGATAGTAATAGCAGCAGCTGCTACACTCCCTTAGTCACAGAGACATTAGAGGGATAAGGAGACAATATCTGAATGTGTCTTTTCCAGGCTCTGCCACATTTGCCAGCAGGATTTGCATTCGTGATTGGGACTGTTTCACAGGCAATTTATTTCCCATTAAAATCATTCCCACAAGTCCATTCCAAATATCAGTACAGCTTTCTTTTGGCAAATACATCACAACTGTTAACATTTTGATAGAAAATTAATACTTACAAGGTGCTTTCATAAACATTATCTCATTTAAGCCTCACAAGAACCTTACAGCAAAGAACGTTCAGAGAGCTTAACAATACTTGTAGCAAAGCTTGCAAAGTTACCTGTCAGGTGTTGGAATTAAGACTTGAATTTATATCCGTATGATCTCTAATCTCTTTCATACCCCCACACAAAGATGCTTTTTGAGAACCCTTGCCTGGGAGACAGTAAGCCTGAATGGAAAATTCAGGTTTTACCACTTCTGACACCTCTCAGTACCTGCTTCCTGTCTGGAAATGGTCAAAATAAGCCCCCTCTCACAGAATCAATGTTAAATGTGATAGTGTGGATAAACCATTCTACAAACTTGCAAGCATTTAACAGAGGTTTGTCACACAAATATGACATGTAAGTGTAATGTTTTACAGAAATTTCAAACTGATTTCCATACTGTCAGAATGATAGCTATTGTATGATTGTTGCTTTCAACAGTTCGAGTCACCATTTTGAAGAGTGTGCCTAATAAAAATGTAGACAAGTTGTAGCCATTGGTAAATGTTGTATAAGAACTGACTTTATTTTTCAGTTTGGGAAGACTTTTCCTGCATCCCTTTACTCATTTTAATTTCTTCTTCACACTTTTGCAGATGAAGAAAAGCCAATAAAATAACAGCATTGGGCCTGATGGTGTGGCTCATTCCTGTAATCCCAGCATTTTGGGAGGCTGAGGAGGGCAGATCATTTGAGGCCAGGAGTTGAGATCAGTTGAGACCAGCCTGGCCAACATAGCAAAATTCGGTCTCTACTCAAAGTACAAAAAATTAGCCTAGTGTGGTAGTGCATCCCTGTAATCCCAGCTACTTGGGGCTGAGGGACTAGAATCACTTGAATGCGGGAACTGGAGGTTGCAGAGAGCCAAGATCACGCCACTGCACACTGCACTCCTGCGTGACAGAGCAAGACTCTGTCTCCAAAAACAACAACAATGACAAACGAACAAACAAAAAAAACAGCGTTGATTTTGCCTCCTTAGAAAGGACTATTTGCTAAATGTGTGATGTGTATAAAGGTGCATAGTTCAGATAAGTGATTAGTGCTATTCTATGTTTCCTTGATGTTTCGCCCAAGCTTAGTAAGGCTTTTTATCCATTAAAGCTTCATTTTCATTTTGTAGACATGAGTATAAAACATGTAAACATATAATGAATACATTATTTTAAAATTAAAAACTGTTACAACATATTTTATATTATAATTATTGTTACTATTTCAAAGATTGCTTCATGGTTTGATAGCCTTTCTTGCGAACCTCAGGTTTAAAACAAAAATTGCCATGAATGTTCTTCTGTGACATTCTTTGATTAATTAATTCAGAGAGCTTTATTTACTGAAAAAAAATCTGATCATCAACTAAGTGGCTCAATAGTTTTGGTCAAGTAGCTCATCTAGAGTACAGCATTTATAGTAAATAAAGTAAAAACATTTTTTAAAAGTGCTTTGCAATCCTCAAAGCACTTTTATTACACACATATATAGACACAAAATACACATATCAGGGAAAAATTATAAAATATCACACTATGAATATTGGCTAGCTGTATGCCTTAGGTGGCAGCACCATTCATAAAGTGCCTAGGATTTGTCTGTTGTACATCTTGCTTCCTAAATCACAGTAAATGAGGCAAAACCTTAAATAACACTCACTGATCCACTAATCCCATTAAAGTTTTTAAGGCAGGATTTCAAGATCTATTGCAATAACAAACATCAGTTACAGCTAACCGGATATTGCTGAGTGAAAAAAAAATGTGTTTGCCATTCACTTTTCCAGGTCTTTCTTTTTCTTTAAAAAATCAATTTATCTTCTTCTAGTATAATCCATTCTACGGAATTAGATTGAATTAGTTTCAAGCAGATTACAGCGTCAGCAGAAGAGTTAGCAGAAAGTAAGTTAGTGCACATCCCAACATGTCCTTAAAACTGATTTCTTTAATAACTACTGCTGAAAATGTAATGAATTATATAGCATAATAAGGAAAAAAGCAATAGTTTTAAATAAATTCAACAATGAAAAAGGGTGTCTTAAAAAGAACTATCTTGCTTTCTTTCTGCTGAAAGGCTGAAAGCTCCTCTAATTTCATAAACATTTTCCTGCAATTCTCATACTGTTTGGAGCTACCATCATTACCATCTCATTTTTCTTTTACCCCAGGACTTCCGAATTGGGAGATCTTGCTGGCTGTCCTTGCATACTCGGAGCTTTCCTATTCTCCATTCCTTTGGAATCTAGCTTCCACTCTCTCTCATTAAAATCACTAGCTCTTTACTTGGCCACAAAAGCCCCCTTTAGACCAAAGGCTACGGTCTATTTTCTACTCCCTTTCTTTCTGATACGTGCAGAGTTCTAATTTATTTTCCACTTTTTCTTCCTTAGGATTCCTTACTCCCTCAGCTTCCTTGGCACTACCCTCTCTTTACTCCCCTATCATCTTTTGATATACTCCTTCCAGTGTTTTGAATTGGTCCCTACTCCTCAAATACATACCTCCACCAAAAATCAATTTTCAGTTTTCTTCTCATGAAAGTCTACACATGCTT
This sequence comes from Homo sapiens, assembly GCF_000001405.40. Classification (NCBI taxonomy): domain Eukaryota; kingdom Metazoa; phylum Chordata; class Mammalia; order Primates; family Hominidae; genus Homo; species Homo sapiens. The sequence continues at coordinate 81,832,308 of NC_000010.11, read as the reverse complement.
CCTTGGAGATTTCAGTCATCTGTTCAGTTTTTTTTTTTTCACTAGGCAATCATTTATTATATTTCTAAAATGATTCAAGATAATAGGCTGTGGAATACAAAGATGAAGGTTGCCATAAAATATAAAAGAGCTTAATCAAATTACCACCTACCTGATTATATATTTTTGAAAGCTAAATATATGACCTTCACTTGTTGCCTGTGTGCCAAGGTACCACATCCCTGGGCAACACTGTTGTAGGTTCATACTACATACAGCAAAAATGAACTCATCTTGTTTCTTCTAACTTGCCTAATCCTCCAAATTTATCTTTTCTCTCTGCACTATGACACTGCACCTGCCACTCAAGTTTCAATGCATTGGAGTCATCCTTGACTGTTTCTTATCACATTACCAACAAACATAAGTAGTTAGTAAGTCTTATCAGTTATTTCTGAATCACAACTGTTCATCTATTTCTTCCTTTTCAATATTAGTTCTACTTCACTATTCAGAGTCCTCACTTGAAGTCAGAGCAACTAAACCATCTTATAGTAGTCAATGGCTGTGCCTAAACTCTGCTCACCTCACATTTCCAACCCATTTTATTCTTTATTGCTAGTGAGAGACAGGACTAGCTGGATTTCCTAGGCTGACTAAGAATCCCTAAGCCTAGCTGGGAAGACGACTGCATCCACCTTTAAACACGGGGTTTGCAACTTAACTCACACCTGACCAGTCAGGTAGTAAAGAGAGCTCACTAAAATGCTAATTAGGCACAAACAGGAGGTAAAGAAAGAGCCAATCATCTGTCGCCTGAGAGCACAGGGGGAGGGACAATGATCGGGATATAAACCCAGGCATTCTAGCTGCAACGGAAACCCCCTTTGGGTCCCCTCCCATTGTATGGGAGCTCTGTTTTCACTCTATTAAATCTTGCAACTGCACTCTCTTCTGGTCCATGTTTGTTACGACTTGAGCTGAGCTTTCGCTCGCCGTCCACCACTGCTATTTGCTGCCGTCACAGACCCGCCGCTGACTTCCGCCCCTCTGGATCTGGCAGGGTGTCCACTGCGCTCCTGATCCAGCAAGGCACCCATTGCCGCTCCCGATAGGGCTAAAGGCTCACCATTGTTCCTGCACGGCTAAGTGCCCGAGTTTGCCCTAATCGAGCTGAACACTAGTTGCTGGGTTCCATGGTTCTCTTTGTGACCCACAGCTTCTAATAGAGCTATAACACTCACTGTGTGGCCCAAGATTCCATTCTTTGGAATCCCTGAGGCCAAGAACCCCAGGTCAGAGAACAAGAGGCTTGCTGCCACCTAGGAAGCAGCCCACCACCATCTTAGGAGCAAGAACAAGGACAACTGGTAACACTTGGATCATCTAAGTAAATACTAATTGAGCCAGGCACAGTGGCTCACTTGTATAATCCTAGCAGAGAAGAGATCTCTTGAGGCCAGAAGTTTCAGACCAGCCTGGTCAACACAGCAAGATCTGATTTCAATAAAAAGAAAAAAAGTATTAAATAAATACTAATTAAAACCATCTTCCTCAAATCCTAAATTATTCTCCACTATTTAAATGACCGTGGATTTTGTGGGCCCTCCACAAGGTAGCCGCAATCCACTTTTCCAGCCTCATCTCCAATGTAGCATTTATATTAACTCGAAACTCTTACTGAAGGCATTCTAGATCCTACCATTAAAGTTCTAGTCTCAGGTCCTTTCCACATGCTAAATTCAATAGTTGGAATATGACTTCCTTCCCTCTACTTTATTGATTATACTATTCTATCTAGATTTGTCAACTTGACTTTTACCACCTAGGTATCATTTTTGCTAACTTGTACATTACTTCTACCATTACACTCCAGCCCTTGACTCTTTCCCTTAATTGATGTAATGCATTACTTACTATCTTCACCATTTATTGGTGCTATTATACATTCATAGATTATAAACAAACTCTTATATTTCTATTGCAAAATGTAGAATATATAAAATACGGAATATGTGATAGGCTAGAAGGAAGATAAAGTAGTAGCCCAGACTCCCAGAAATAAATACACCAACAATTTTAGGCACTGTCTTCAATTTTATTTTTCAGTTTCATTTAATTCCACTATTTTTCGAACAATGTAAATGTGGATCTATCTCCAGTTGGGGCTTAAGGCTCTTGAATGCTGGTCTGAGTTTTATTACTTTTGTTTACTTAATGCCTGACAACTAGAAGGCACTGAAATAAGTGTCCAGTAATATTGAGTATCACAGGAAAATTACACATGTAGCCAAAATGAAAATTATATATTCATTTCTGTGTTGATCTGTGTATGTCATAATGACGGGGGTATATATCAGCTCTGTTCAGTATTGCCTACCTTACACCTACCATAGTACCTGAAAGTGCATAAATGTATTGAATAAATAAATATATTAAAATCATGCTCTAAGGGGCATGTACTATGGAAGATTTACATAGAAATCTCTTGTTAATCTTCCATTTATAAAGAATTATCTCTTATACAGTCTTTAAATAGAAATTATTAGTTGAAGCCAGGCACGGTGGCTTACGCCTGTAATCCTAGTGCTTTGGGAGGCCAAGGCAGGCAGATCACTTGAGGTCAGGAGCTCGAGACCAGTGTGGCCAACATGATGAAACCCCATCTCTACTAAAAATACAAAAATTAGTCGGAAATCATTTGAACCCAGGAGGCAGAGGTTGCAGTGAGTTCAGATTGCGCCACTGCATTCCAGCCTGGGTGACAGAGCGAGACTCCGTCTCAAAAAAATAAAATAAATAAATAAATAAGTAATCAGGTGATATAGCACATAGTCAATGTAATTTGTTATATGATAGTAAATACTGTTACAGCCAATATTTTGATTAGGAGAGAAAGAAAGAGAAGAAGTAAATTTCCATTTTGTGACCTTCAACTTATAAAACCAAACCTATCAAAGGATGAATTTATTAATTAGGCATTGGGGAGGATGTGATTGCATGTAATTTATCAATAGATATATATCAACAGGGTATAACTCAGTTACAGTGAAAAAGCAATCTTTATATTCAATTCAGTTCAAAATAGTAAAAATCATTATGAAATGGAGGAATTAATGTTTAGCAAAAGCATAGCCCAGCCCTTGTGTTAACAAGGCCTCCTGTGTTAGCAAGGCCTCTGGTGTTCCTCATTGTCCTGGATTATGAAATAGCAATGTCACCCAGACATCCTTCCATGTTATCCATCTCTTCCAAGAGAATGGCCATAAGCCCATGACAAGGGCAGCCACTGAGTTTCAGTTCTGAGGGATACAACCTTCAGTGTGAAGAGCAGGCAGTTCATGCTCTGTCTGCAGGTTTTATTTTTTCTCACAGTTATTTAATTCATCCACTTGTTGTGATCAGCATCTCTTGGAATTTGTGTTTTTGGATTCTCTTCTTCCTCTTCATTGCTGCTGGAAGAGGACTGTGGAAATTGCTTGGCCTTAATCTAAAGCTTTAAGCCTTCTCACTCTAGATAAAACGAGACTTTGATGTGCACAGGAAGTTAACCTACACTATTAGGGTAAATTCTGAAGCTAAAAGCCAGCAGTTCCTTCCTGCTGTTCCATTGGTCTGGCACTGTCCTCACTATATGTTTCTCCTTTGGGTCATCTCATGTCTGTGTGTCCATCTATGGCCATGGTAGATGGCTGGGCTGTTTGTGGATTAATTCAAGTATTCAAATTCCTGAGAACTTACCACTTCTCATACTCCATTAGAAGAAAGAATATCGTGAGGTACTAGTGGGTTGAGAGCTGTATGTGTAGGAAAACAGATGTCTGACTTCATCAGGCTTATTCGTGTGGGAGTCTGGTTGCATGTAATTGCACCTGTCAAAGAGGCTTGAAAACTGCCTATTATTTGATGCACATACCTCAGAACAGTGACGATCAGCAAGAATATTTGCTTTCCCAGAACGACAGCAGCAACAGCAGCAACAATAACAGAATACCAACCTACCACAGCACCAAATTGTTGTTAAGCCTCTCCTAAATCAGTACATCTCAAACACTGTGATTACATATTTCTGGCTATGGCCACACTTTTTAGCACAATTATAAATCCAGGGTGTCCATAGGCAAAACAGGGTTGAGGCTTATCTTAATTCAACTGCTTCATTTTCCTGGAAAAAGAAAGCCCAGTGTTTAAATTGGGAAGAGATCAGGCCAATCTTACACAATCAGTCAGTGAAAGAACTCATACACTATTTCTCTTCTAAGTCCAGTCATCTATCCCCTTCACCAAAATGCTTTCTTTTCCTCCTGAATTACTCTAAGCATCAGTGATTTTCCTCATTTAAATAACGCAGGGATTTAGGGACATAACAAAAATATCACATCTTTTAAATGTTAATGTGGGTGTCACTATGCATTTATGTATGTAACTTATCTATTATTATCTTTATTCAGTGTTCAATTTTATGTCCTAAATGTAAATCAGTTTCAGCCACTTTCTGTTGCAGCAGAGCAAATAAACACATAATTACCTGAAAAACAAAGATAGTTAGCTTTTCACTATTTAAAATAAATCTCTTTCCCTTTCTGTCTCTGTCCCTTTCTTTCTTTCTCCTACACACACACACACACACATGCACATGCATACACACACACACACACACACACACACACACACACAGAGCAAGTTGTTGGTTGAAATTAATCCTCATTTTAATTTTCCAGGTCATTGAATATTTGTCTATAGACTCCTGTTACTTCATCTTGATTAAAAACTTCTTCCTCTGGTAGAATATTACTTCCGTTTTCAGCATACATGATTTGGATTTAGCCAAAGTTCAATTACGGAGGTCTGATGTAACTTGAATATTGTACAAATGAACTGCATATGTAAAATTTTGGGGTAAATTCTTTTATGAGAAAAGGTGACACCCCCTCCACCCCACCATCCCTCCACTTGCTTTGGCTGGAGTAGCAGATGATTATTCCCCAAATTGCGTTCTAAGCAGGAAAATTTTAGCTAATTGCAGACTTTTGTTTTGTTAAGAGATAGAAAGGGATGGGTTGCTCTGAACTATAGAAGGGATTTGTATTAAGTGGGAAGCAAAAGAAAGGAGAGAGGAGTGGTTTGCTAATTTAAGGAACTTGGAAGGAGAAAGAATGAATATGTCTAATAAGGGACTTTATTAAGTTTCTGCTGTGTGTTATACCTTTTCTTCCCCATTTCCCCATGGAATGAATCTTCAATACAGTATCAGTTTTTTAATGTGTTAAGACGTCGGTTCTGTTTTTAGAGTTGTTCCAAAGGCTGTCCTAACTCAAGGTAAGTGGGGGGCAAGAATAGGCACAGTCCATGTCTCTCTCTCTCTTTCTATGTATTCATGTACGTTTGTGTGTGTATATATGCGTATGAATGTGTGTGTGTAATCGCCCAATGGGTTCTTCCTGCCTGCTGCGCAAGAAGAACTGCACAGACAAAAACCAGTTCACTGAGACTGTGGCTTTGCAGTAAAGAAAGAAGCTAGTCATTTAGGTGATAGAGTTATCATTAAAATCAGTCTTCCAGAAGTCCAGAGGTTAGAGCTTTTCAAGGATAGTTTGGTGTGCAGAGCACTAGGAAATGGGAGTTGCTCATCGGTTGGGGAATGCAATCATAGGGCTGTGGAAAATGGTTCTTGTTTGCTGAGTCTGCCTCTGCGTGGGGGCCACAGGACTGGATGAGTTATGAGTCCTGAGTTCCAGTGGAGTCAATCAGTTGTCAGAATTCAAAAGTCTAAAAGACATTTTAAAAAACCAATCTTAGGTACTTTAATAGTGATGTTATCTACAGTATAACAGGAGTAATTGAGGAAGTTACCAATCTTGTGGCTTCTGGCCACGTGACTACTGAGAGTTCAGGCCCCTCCCATAATCCTAATCTTGTGGCCTTTCATTAGATTTTCATTCCTTGAGCAAGAAGGGAGTTAGTTTTAGATAGAGACTGTTATTGTCAGAGGCATTTGAACCAGAGCAACTCCATCTTGAAAAGGAGCTGGGTAAAATAAGGCTGAGACTTACTGGGCTGCATTCCGAGGAGGTTAGGCATTCTTAGTCACAGGATGATGTAGAAGGTCAGCACAAGATACAGGTCACAAAGACCTTGCGGATAAAACAGATTGTGGTAAAGAAACTGGCTAAAACCCACCAAAACAAAGATGGTCCTGAAAGTGATCTCATTTGTCCTCATTGCTCATTATATGCTAATTCTAATACATTAATACACTAAAAGATGCACCCACCAGCAACATAACTGTTTCAAATGGCATAGCAATGTCAGGAAGTTACTCTATATGGTCTAACAAAGGGAGAAATCCTTAATTCCAAGAATTGCCCACCCCTTTCTCAGAAAACTCATGAATAATCCATTCCTTGTCCAGCATATAATCAAGAAAGAGCCATAAAAATAGCCAACCAGTAGCCATCGGGGCTGCTCTACCTACAGAGTAGCCATTCTTTATTCCTTTACTTTCCTAATACATTACTCTATGGATTCACCTCAAATTCTTTCTTGTGTGAGATCCAAGAACCCTCTCTGGATTGAGATCCCTTTCCGGTAACATTATCATCTTTTCCAAGTGAAACTATAAACTAAATTTCTTCTGTAGTAATCTTGGCCCATGCCCAGAAATGCATGAAGACAGCCAGCCTAGAAGGCTAGAAGCAAGATGGAGTCAGCTATGTTAGATTTTTCTCACTACCATAATCTTTGCAATGACAGTTTCACCTGCAAGTGTGTGTATCTGCAATGACCTAGAAAGACCTGGAAAGATGACTTCCTAGATATTTCTTAACCTTAAGTCAGATAATTCAGAGGATCTAGAAAGTGTCCCAAAGCCAGGATTGGCCCTTAATATTTTGAGAAGTACAGGCCTTATTTGAGCACATCCTTTACGTGACCTAAGATAGAGGGAAAATAGTAGTGACACTTTTGACCTTTTGATGCCATATTTGCATGCCTGTGCCAACTTTATCATTCCCCCTCTGCTAGGACTTTGACAGATTTGTTTTCAGCATTCTGAGCACTATTTTTTTTAAAATTTAATTATTTTTAATTGGAAAATAAAAATTGTATATATTTATGATATGCAGAAATGTTGGGGCTCAGAAACAGATATGCCAAAATATGGATTGTTGACATGCTGAATTGAAGTAAACCTCAAGTTCTCTCTGAACATCCCCCACTCATTGTCCTCCCAAAGTCCTTCTCTGCCTAAGATCCAGACCCATCAAGGACAATTGATTTTTTCTTCTCCTCCCTATAAGACCAAGAATGTAAACACACCTGAACAGATCCCTTCACTGTCAAAAGCATATCCTGAGAATGACCCTATGGTCTAAAAAGAATATGTGTTTGGAGGTCCAAGCTAAGGAACCTGGGAATGGTCAACCTGAAGATTCACTCCTTATCTATGCAGGACATCTGAACCCCAGGCCCACTTGTTGGGATGTGGGCATACAGGGCATCCGGGCCTTTTGTTTTGGGTTAAATGGAGGTTGTTGTGTGGAGGTTGCTAAGTAAAAATGATATATAAACTCCACGCTTTTTACAAACGTTAGCCGTTCTCCTGTCCAGCTCACTGCCACTGGACGGCCTCTGTATGTAAGTCCTCAATAAACCCAACGTCTCATTCCCTGTCTCTGGTCTTCTCTGCAGCCTCTCCAACAAGGTGCCCTCCATATTGGAATCAGTAGAGGTCCAGCATGACAAACAAATGTGAACTGATATCTCACTGCAGTTTTAATTTGCATTTCCCTGATGGTTGGTGATGTTGTGTGCCTTTTCATATACATGTTGACAATTTTTATGTCTTGTTTTGAAGAAAAATGTCTATTTAGGTCCTTACAAACTTTTAATCAGGTTATTTTCTTACTATCGAGTTGTCTGAGTGCCTTTTATATTTCAGATATTAACCCCTTATCAGATGTATGGTTTGCAAATTTTTTTTCCCATTCTATAAATTGCTTTTTTGTTTTGTTGTTTGCTGTACAGAGACTTTTTAGTTTGATGCAATCCAGTTTGGCTATTTTTGCTTTTGTTGCCTGTGCTTTTGGGGTCAAATCCAAAAAAATCATCTGAGCACTACTTTTGGTGGAATATCAGCTCCCTAAACATCAGCATGACGTGTTGATAGAGCATACTAAGTTTATTGCTTACCACAGTAAGAGAGAACACCACCTAGACAGTGTTTTCTAGTGCTCAGAGAAGGAAAGGCAAGGTTGATTTTATCAAAAATAAGAAATTTGGTTTAAGGTGTGTCTTTCAATGAGCAGGCTTGATTCTCAGAAAGTTTCTGTTGCTGAGATTCTGGAGGTAGTGAAAATAAGCATTTATTTTTTAAGCCTGAGCATATTTATTCATGTTTTTAAATGTTAAGAATCATGTTTTCATGGGCAAAGCTCTACCTCAAGAGTGCGAATTCCAGATTGTGTGGAAATCTATTCATTAAGGTCTGTTTCTGGGTTTTATCCAGGGATACTAAGGGATCATATTTGAATGTTCTCTATGGGTCACTGCTTAGCTAAGGTCCCTTTGGATCTATTGGGTCTAGTCTGACGTCTGTGGGAATAAAAATTATTTTCTAGGGTCTCAGCTGACTCAATTGTACAATCCATTCCCTTGACGGAAGCAGATATCAGTGGGTGGGATGATGTTCAGGAAGGTCTCAAGTGATTTTCATCTCATCATTAGGTTGCACTTAGGGATTGAGAAGTTATTTCTATTGAAATGGAATCATAAATAGGCCGGGCGTTGTGGCTCACACCTGTAATCCCAACACTTTGGGAGGCTGAGGTGGGCAGATCACGAGGTCAGGAGATCCAGACCATCCTGGCTAACACGGTGAAACCCCGTCTTTACTAAAAATACAAAAAAAAAAAAAAAAAATTAGCCAGGTGTGGTGGCAGGCGCCTGTAGTCCCAGCTGCTTGGGAGGCTGAGGCAGGAGAATGGCTGAACCCAGGAGGCAGAGTTTGCGTTGAGCCGAGATCGCGCCACTGCACTCCAGCCTGGGCGATAGAGCGAGACCCGGTCTCAAAAAAAGAAATGGAATCATAAATAAAAGGAGTTGAAGAAAGATTTTTCACTCAGTAGCACGGTTTATTCATGGTCCAGGGAAGAATATTAAATGCTTAGAAACAACAAAGTTTAGGGGAGAAGCACATGTAATAAGAAGGATATATTGTTTTACAGGGTTCTGAAATCTTATTTATTTCTCCATGTAGTCAACTTTCAATAGCTGTGGCTCAGAGCTAAAAGAATTGTTGAATCCCACTGTGTTGAAGAAATTTTTTAAAAGCCAGCTTGAGCGTGTGTTTGAGGAATGCAAGACCATGAAATTGCTTACAGCTTTTCCCATGATAAATTTTGCGTATGAATGTAGGCTGTATCCTTGGACATTGTCCACTTAACCTACGATTAGGCTGCTAGAAGTGCAAGAAGCTAAAAGTGGTGGTTGGAGGTCAATGAGAATATTTGCACAATGGAAATAGAGATCAGGTGATATTAAATACATAGATTGAGTGTTAAAGGAAGTGAGGGAATTCAGGAATTACCTGGGGATTAGGAGATACCATCATTGTAAAATTCTGCCTGAGTATTTAGTGTTTTAGTTATGAAGAGGTGTCAGTTTGCATTAGTAGTAAAAATTGTTTCTCCAAGGTATGGAAATCAGAACTACAGTTAACCTTTTGTGGTAGCTAGTGTACAAAGATGTCTGCCATCAGTTTGTTCTTCTACCTTTTTGTGCATGCTGCTTCTCACATCAAGAGCTGAAATCAAATTCACCTCTTCTTAAATCTAGGCCATCTTAATGATTGTTGATGATTCTATTTAGTGAAAGCGATGTTGTATTTCCAAGGTGAGGTCATAAAAGGCTTTGAGGCTTCTTTCTGGGCCTCTTCCAATTTTTGCAATCCAGCCACCATAAGGTGAGAAGTCCAACCTTCATGAGGAGGCCATGTGAGGGTCCTCTGGGCAACAATCCCACCTGACCTCCAGGCAAGTGGGATTGCCCAGTGAGAATGGTGATTATCTGCATCAGAGTGAGTCATGTCTTTATCCATCCCAGTCAATGTTCAGATAACATTAGCGGTCATCTGACTGAAGTCTCACAAATGGTAGCTGCTAGTTAGGCCCCGTCAATCCACAGAATTCTGAGAGAAAATAATAAGTTGTTGCTTTAAGGCATAAAATTTGGTGTGGTTTTTATGTAGCAATAAATAATTGGAGAAGTTCTTAATGTATTATTTATGTAAATTCCTGTCAGTTCACAGGTGGATTCTAGACAATTAGGATGAATGAATAGATGCTGGAGATACACTCAAATGGAAACACAGAAAACTTGCTATTGTTCTTATAATTCCCCTGACCACCTTGTTTCCTCAGATAATACCATGCTCTGTGGTATGCAACAATGAATTCACACCAGGCACTGTAATGTTTTCTTCTTTCAATATTCCTACTTTATGATGGAATTTGTACTGAAGATTGTAAACTGCTTCAGTAGTCACAGTTTATTTGGGGGATCTTCAGTGCATTGTCTAAATAATGTCAGTGATATCTTGGTATTCTAATTTTTAAAATATCTTCATGGAATTTGAAAAGAAACAAAAAAAAAAGAAAAAGAAAAAGAAAAAGAAAAAGAAAGGTAGGGTGGGTACTCCATGTTAACAGGTGTTAAAGGAGCAACCTCAGTTTCACTTGCATACCAGGCATTAGCTGATGGTGAAGAGGCTTCTGGCTTAGTTCCTACGTGGCCAGGAGGAAGTGGGAGGATTATATAAACAGAAAAACAAAAGCTTTTAAAATATTTCAGGATTAAGATAAGGATGTAATCACTGTGTTAGAATTTACTCCCTCTGTGATACCAAATAATGGAATTGATAATGAGTTCACAACATGTTTTATAGCATTACAAATAATGTGACATTTGATATTTCTGGGATTCTATGTTGCTATCTGGTACCCATTTTATACCCTAGACTTGTAATTCTGGCTGGGCATGTAGTAAAGTATTATAAGAAATGGGGGCCAGGAGCAGTGGCTCATGCCTGTAATCGCAGCACTTTGGGAGGCTAAGGCGGGAGGATCACCTGAGTTCAGGAGTTTGAGACAGCCTGGCCAACATGGCGAAACCCTGTCTCTACTAAAAATACGAAAATTAGCCCGGTGTGGGGGTGTATGCCTGTAATCCCATCTACTCAGGAGGCTGAGACAGGAGAATTGCTTGAACCTGAGAGGCTGCAGTGAGCCAAGATCACACCACTGCACTCCAGCCTGGGTGACAGAGAAAGATTCTGTCTAAAAAAAAAAAAAGAAAGAAGGAAAGAAAAGAAATGGGAAAATGAGAGTTCAGCCACTGCTTGACCTAGGATATAATATAGATGTGGCTAAATTTAATTCCAGCAATGTCTTGATATTTTGAGTGTTCTAAGGAACTATTAATCAATCTTTAGGAATCTTATTACCTATGTCATTTTTCAATATGGCCATTAAGAAACACTTAGAAGGATTAAAATAAAATGGAATTAAAATAAAACAGGGAAAGGTTTTCTTCTCTTCCTGATACTACATTTTTCTCTCTAGGGGAACAGCCTTCCTCTAACTGCCCTAGGACAAGGATGAGAGAAAAAGGTGTAGAGGAGAAACATCTGCATACACCAACCTCTAGAGGGAACTCAAGGCTTTCTCCTCTCCATCTCATTACACGGGTGCCCTCCACAGCCTTCCTTCAATAGCTCCTCTGATTTCTAGTGTATCTTCCACTTATATAATGTTACCTTGTTATCACTATTACATTCACAATTTTGCTCACCATAAAATATTTTCCTGTGTGGAAAAATATGTTCATCACTTTCAAAAGAAGAGCTATGAATATATTTATGTGTGTGTGTATATATATGTATGTATGTATGTTTGTGCTTTGTGTATCTGTATGTATTTATACATATATGCATATGTAGATATGCATACATTTATGTGTATATATAGATTACATATGTGTGTACATAAATATATACATATACATATATATTTCATGTGGATGTGTCTGTATATACACATATATTGTCAATAAATGTAAATTTCTCTTCTATAATTCAGTGGTGATATAAAGCTGTTGCATATCGAACAAAGACGTAGGCAAAAATTTCGCTGAAAAGCCATTTATTTTTAAGGGAGATACCTTTGAAACAATTAGAATCATGCATGGTAGGTACTGAATAATTCAACGAAAGTTGCAGATAATTCATGCTCCCTCCTTGAAGTCACTGGTTGATCCACAAATAGTCTAAAAATGATGAGGTATGATGAATTTCTCTTTCTGCCTGACAAATAACATAGCATTATGTCTATAATTACCCTGAAACATTTTAGCAACACAACCCAGAATCATGTCAAAGTACCTGAAATCAGGTTTCCAACAGAATTCCAAAATAGCAGTGATCTTTTAGAGGAATTTGACCGGCTATACCTAGAAAATAACAAATGTTTAAAGGCTCATATTTTGGAAGCTGGACTTAGTTCATCTCAGAGAATTTTGAGAAAAGCTGGTGTTTGTCCTATACATGACCAGATGCTTGACTAGCTAGCTTTCTGTGAAGGGCAGAGGCCACTAACTCCAGTGTTAGGAATTCGGATTAATCATTTTACAAGTCTGAATTTTTATTTTGTCCACTATTTGTGTCTGTGATTTTGAAAAACCTCAAACTCAGCATTTCCCATAGATTCATCTATAAATTGTGATATTTTATGATTGTAAAATCCATTCTTCTTTCTTTCTTTCCTTTCTTTCTTTTTCTTTCACTTTTTTAGAGATGATGTCTTGCCCTGTCATCAAGTCTTGAATGCAGTGGCATGATCAGCTCATCATAACCTCATACTTCTGGGCTTAAGTGATACTCCTGCCTCAGCCTCTCAAGTATTCAAGACTACAGGTGCACACCACCACTCCCACTTAATGTAAAAGTTTTTTTGTAGAGACAGGGTTTCATTATGTTGCCAGGGTGGTCTTGTATTCCTGACCTCACATGATCCTCTCACCTTGGCTTCCCAAAGCACTGGGATTAAGGTATGAGCCACTGTGCCCAGCTCATTATATTTTAGTAAAGAATATATAAACATTGTCTTATTAAATCTGTAAAACTTTCAGTAAAGCAGTAATTATTGTAATCTGAAAAAGGGATTGAAGCTCACAGAAGTTAAGCAAATGGTCTCAGGTCACACAATTGAGAGTCAGAATTTGATCCTAGGGTTCTAACTCTAAAGCCAATGGTCTCTTCATTACTATAAAATTTTTTACTATCTAAGAATTTATGAAGAAATATTTTGATAATTGAAGAAATGCTTTATAAGAATCAAAATTAGCATTTTATCTCTTTTTAAATAGGCTACACATATTAGGGTCATGGTGATGGAACAAACCATCTCAGACAATGTCTTTCTGACATTCCTGGTAGTGCTTTTGTAAGAATGGTAACAAATGAATAGAAATATGCGCAGCCTACATTTCAGAAGAGAGATCTTTACACTAAAGATGAAAAGTCATCCTCTACATGTGGTCGAATCTCAATAACTTAATGATGCTTGCGATGATATTTGATGTTTGATGTTGTTGATATTCCTGAAGCTTAAAATTGCCATTGGCGTATTATTTGATTGGGTTATCAGGAGTTTACATCAGGTTTTTAAAGAGCAGGTTTTTTGAAGAGAATCCTCTTTGGAGAGTCAGAGGACTTCTTCCTGCTTGTGCAATAGGTGCTATGCTGAAATAACTCAAAAACTCTTTCCCTGGAAACATATAGAAGTGCACAACAAATTTAAGCAAACATTTAAAAACTATATAGCTGAGATTGCTAGATTCTAAAGAAATTTCTCAGGTACCAGGACAGAAAAATGAGAATAAACTGGAAATTACTGAAATGATTGTGTGAGGAGTTGTTGCAGTGCTGCTTTCATGGTGGGGAGGGGCTGGAAGGCAGGAGGATTGAACAATTGAAAGAGATAAAGATCAGTAACATACATCAGTGGTGTTTTTTTTTGTTTGTTTTGTTTTTTTTCTGATGGAATCTTGCTCTTGTTGCCCAGGCTGGAGTGTAATGGCATGATCTCGCCTCATTGCAACCTCCGCCTCCCGGGTTGAAGCGATTCCCCTGCCTCAGTCTCTCAAGTAGCTGAGATTACAGGCAAGCGCCACCATGCCCAGCTAATTTTTTTTTGTATTTTTAGTAGAGATGGAGTTTCAGCACGTTGGCAAGGCTGGTCTCAAACTCCTGACCTCAGGTGATCCAACAACCTCGGACTCCCAAAGTGCTGGGATTACAGGCATGAGCCACTGGGCCCGGCCCAAAGTGGTTCTTAAGTGATACTCCTGCCTCAGCCTCTCAAGTAGCTAAGAGATAATTTTGCCCTGAAGCAGGGGGACACTTAAGCAATATCCGCAGACAAATTTTTGTTTGTCACAACTATGGGAGTGGCATAGTATGAACGGTATTAATGGCATGCAGAGGGTAGAAGCTAGGAATTCTGCTAAACATTCTACAGTACAGAAGAAAACCACCTAGAACAAAGAATTCTGTGACGCCAAAAGTCAACAGTACTCAAGTTGAGAGCCCTGGTCTAGAGAGTGGGGCTTTATGTCTATAGAGACAGTAATGGAAAATGTTGATTCACAGGGATGAAAATTTAAAACTGTATTACCCAAAAGAAAAGCCTTAATCCTATGAGGATTATACCTAAATTGAACAGAGAACCAAAAATCAAAAAAAAAGAAAAAGAAAATATTTTGTTCATTTCCTCTCTGCCTGCAATGTGGGATAAGAAAATTTTCTATGAGTCCGAAAACCTCTCATATTGTGATTCAATTTACCAAAAGATATCTTGGATTCTAAATATTTAGAAAATAAAATGAGCACCAATTCTGGGTAAGTGATAGCCCTAGAATTTCTTACCGTCATGAACACAAAATCTCTTTACCCAGACAGTTTCATAATTTATGCTATGAAAAGATCTTTACAGTAAAAAAAAAGATTAGCTTACAATAAAAGCTTTTTTGATTTTTATTGTTTAAAAAGTTAAACAATGCACCAAAATGGAGTGTTAGTAGACTCAATTAACAGAAATATTAAAGCCTGAAACACTGTGAAAATAAAACAATTAAAAAGAGAACACAAACTAATTAAGTTTAATATCACCAAAATATTTTAACAGTAATTAAAATCCCATGAAAATACAAACACTATAAAAGGAATATCTGTAAAAAGAAGCTAATCAAATTTCCAGAAATAAAAAATAAAGTCATTGGAATAAAAAATCCAATCAACAATTTAAACAGCAAATTAGATACAAATGAAGAGAGAATCATAAACTGAATTAACATATGAGCAATTAACCAGAATACAGCACAGATGGAAAAAAAAATAAAAACCATTAATGTTGGAAAATATGAGAGCTTGAGAAAAGTGGAGTGTAAAATAAAAAGATTCAAAATTCATGTAATAAGAATGTTTGAAATAAGACCAGAGAATGGGGAAGCGACAAGGTTAAATGGTGACGGAACTTCTACTTGTTGATGGTGGATTAAGCTATTTGGTCAAACCCTCATGCTGGGCTCCTTTGCTCTATCTATGGCAAAAATGGAATTACCATCCACTACATTTAAATTATCTTTTGGAGACAAACACCTGGATTGCCTCCAAGTCTCTACTAACCCAAAGATAAGTATGGAAAGCACTTTTGTGAATGTTCCCTTACGGATCAATTTAAGAATATTTTTTGAGAGTGAGGGTGGGTATGATATGTAGTTCCAGAAGCAGAAGTCAGACATACTTCTAAAAGAGAGTACAGGAATACTTCTAAAAGTGTTTCTGTACTCGCACTGGGTTCTAGAATTAATTTTACATTATAATATTAGACCGTCTTCTAGAGTGGCTATACCAATTTGCCATACATGTACTTAGTGCACAAGGGTTCTGGACTCCTCACATTCTTACCAACAATTGCTATCAACCACATTTTCTATTTGTAAACCATCCTTCTTGGTATTTTGGGTGGTCCCTCAATCTAAGAGTTTATCTTTTATCAATTCTAGAAAATTTTTTACCATTATATTTTGAAATATATTATATTCACATTTCCTGTTATTTTTTGTTTCTGGAAAACCTATTTGACTTAATTTGGTGCCTTTTCTTCTGTCTTCCATGTTCCTAACTTTTTTATTTTTTTCTGTTTAATAACCTCTCTACTCTACTCTCTACATGACTTTTCCTCAAATCCATGCTCTAACTATTTATCTTATCAACTGTGCCTATCTTTTGTTTAGTCTGTCCATTGAGGGCTTTTTTCCCCACATCAAATGATTATTGTTTTCATTTCTGTAATTTTATTTGGTTCTTTCAAATATCCTCTGGTTGTTTTATCATTTTTTTTGTTCTGTTTATGTTTTATCTTCTTTAGTTGTTGATATTAATACATTTATAGTACTTTGAAACAACAAATTGACAATTTTTTTAGTTCTTGGGGTTCATATTCCTATATTTGCTGTAACTTATGACTCTCTTATAGAAATTTATTTTTTTGTGTCATTTGTGATGTTTGACAGGCAGTTTGCCATTGTTGGGGCATGTTTTCCATTGGTCTTCCAGTTCCATCAGTCATGGAGGGGTCCTTCTGGTGAATAGAGGATTACCTTTTGCCTCTGCTAAGATGCTTTAGTTTTTTCATCACGGTGCAAATATGTTTATGTTAATTTCATAACTTAGATTCCCATACCTGGTAGGTATTGTAAATTCAGACAGTTTCAAAATGCTTTCACAGAGAATAACTTATTTGGAAAAGAAAGTTCATCTAGATATCTGTCAACAAACTAACCTGACAGGTCTAAAAGAGGTTTGGGAATGCTCTTGTGTTGATTGTTGTGTAGGAAAAAAAAGTCATTAAACTCATATACAATTTCATCATGTAGATAGGTGTGCTGTATTCGGCATCAGAGTTAAGATACAGAATAGTTCCATCACCACAAGGATCCCATCTGTTGCCCTTTTGTAGCCATTATCTACCTTCCCTCTCCCACCTTCTCCACTCCCTTCCCTAATTCCTGACAAGCTACAATCTTTTCTCTATTTCTAAAATGTTACTATTTTAACATTTTTATATAAATAGACTCATATAATCTATAACTTTTGGAATTTACTTTCTTTCCATTGCCTAACTCTCTGGGGATTCACTCAAGTTACGTGAACTCTGCAGGGTGCTTTCTTCTATTGCTGATGAGTAGTCCATGCGGTGGATGTGCTAGAATTGGCTTAACCATTCACCCATTGAAGTATAGTTAGGTGGTTTCCAGTTTGGGCTAATACAAATAAAGCTGTTATGAATATTCATGCATAAGTTTTTATGTAAACATAAGTTTTCATCTCCCTAGCATAAATGACCAAGAGGTCAATTGCTGGGTCACATAGTCATTGCTTGTTTACTTTTTAAAGAAATGACCAAACTTTTTTAGAGTGTCTTAAAGGTTTTGCAATTCCACCAGCAATGCATAAACATATACCTTCACGTCTTCAGGAGTACAATTGCTGAGTTGTAGGTAGTTGCATGTTTAGCACAGTAAGAGACAGTGAACTATTTTCCATTCTAATCAGCAATGTGTAAGTGATCCAGTTTCTTTGAAGCTTTGCCAGCATTTCCTGGGATCATTATTTTTTATTTTAGCCATTTTGATACGTGTGCAGTGATACTTCATCATGGTTGTGATGCGCATTTCTCTGATGGTTAATTATCTTAAATATCTTTCCATTTAATTATTGCTATCTCTATATACTTTTTGTTGAAATGTCTGAGTGTATTTTGCTTACATTCTAATTGGACTGTTTGTTTTCTATTGTTGACTTTTGAGAGTTTTATGTATCTTCTTAATACTAGACATCTTTTACTAGTGGCTTGCAAATATCTTTTTTCCCAGTCAATAGCTTATTTTTCATTCCTTTCAGCAGGATATTTTGCATAACAGAAGTTTTTAATGAGATCTAATTTATAAATTTTTATTTTTAATGATCTTTTCTTGTGTGTCAAAACTGGAAACTCTTTGCTGTGCCATATATTCTGAAGAATTTCCTCTGTGCTTTTCTCTAAGAGATTTATAGTTTTACATTTTAAAATATTTTACATATAAGTTAATGATCCATTTTGAGAAAAATTTTGAATAATGTGTGAGGTTTTGGTTAAGGTGTTTCTTTGTTGTTTTTTGGTCATCATTGCCCAATTACTCCAGCATTGTTTGTTATAAAGGCCACCTTTCCTCTGCTGATTTTTTCATTTTTATAAAAATAAGGTGGTAATATTTACAGGGGTCTAATTCTGAGTTTTCTATTTGGTTCCATTGATCTATATGTCTACTCTTTCACCAATAGCACTCCACCTTGTTTACTGTAGCTAAATTACAATTAGGTAGAGTGCATTATTCCACTTTATTCATTTTCAAGATTGTTTTAGCTATTTGTAGAGCCTTTGCTTTATGTGTGTGTGTGTGCACTTATATGTATATAATATATAAAAATATAATATATTAAAAATATAATATATATTATATAACTTGTATAAAATATATATGTAATTTAACAATTTAAAGACTAATTTTTAGAGAAATTTTAGGTTCACAGCAAAATCAAAATTAAAAATAAGAGAATGCTAGAGAGATTTCCCATATATCTCCTGCCCTGACTTATCCACAGTCTCCTTAATTATCAACATCACCCACTAGGGTGGTACGTTTGTTACTATTGATGAACCTACATTGACATATTATAATCACCCAGAGTCCATACTTTACTCACTGTTGGTGGTGTTCATTCTACGGGTTTGAGTAAATATATAATGATATGTATCCATCATTCAAGTATCATACACAGTATTTTCACTGCCTTAATAATCCTCTGTGTTCCACCTATTCATCTTTCCCTTCATCCAACCGCTGGCAACCACTGACTTTTTCTTTTCTTTTCTTTTCTTTTTTTAAGTTGAGACAAGGTTTGGCTCTGTTACTCAGGCTGGAGTGCAGTGGCATGATCATAGCTCACTGCAGCCTGTACCTCCTGGGCTCAAGCGATCCTGCTGCCTCAGCCTCCCAAATAGCTGGGACTACAGGCATGTGCCACCACACTCTGCTAATTTTTGTTGTTGTTTTTTTATAGTACAGACAAGGTCTTGCTATGTTGGCCAGGCTGGGCTCAACTCCTCAGTTCCAGTGATTCTCTTGCCTCAGCCTCCAAAGTCCTTGTCTTACAGCCATAAGCCACCACACCCAGCTTGATCTTTTTACTGTCTCCATAGTTTGGCCTTTTCCAGAATGTCTTATTGTTGGAATCATATAGTTCATAGCCTTTTCAGATTGGATTATCTTACTTAGTAATATGCTTTTAAGGTCCCTCCAGGTCTTTTCATAGCTTGATATATACATTTTTTCCTTGTTTGTTTCTTTTTTTTAAGCACTGAATAATGTTTTGTTGTTTGGATGTACCACAGTTTATATATCCATTCACCTACTAAAGAACATCTCAGTTGCTTGTTTTGGCAATTATAAATAAAGTTGCTTTAAACGTCCATGTGCAAGTTTTAGGATGAACATAAGTTTTCAATTCCTTTGATTAAATATCAATGAGCATGACTGCTGGATTATATGGTAAGAATATGTTTATGTTTAGTTTTGTAAAAAACCACCAAATTGTCTTCTGAAATGGCTGTACCATTTTGCATTTCCACCAGCAATGACTGAGAGTTCCTGTTGCTCCACATCCATGTCAGCATTTGTTGTCAGTGTTTCAGATGCTGACCTTCTGAAGGTATAGAGTGATAGCTCATTGTTGTTTTCGTTTGCACTTCCCTGGTGCTATATAATGTGGAACATAGTTTCATATGCTTATTTGCTATTTGTGTATCATATTATTTGGTGAGGTGCCTGTTATTTTGTCCATTTTTTTAATCAGGGTATTCGTTTTCTTATTTTTGAGTTTTTAAGATTTCTTTGTAAATTGTGTATAATAGTCCTTTATTGGATGTGTCTTTTCATAATATTTTCTCCCAGTCTGTGGTTTGTCTTTTCATTTTTTTGATAGTATCTTTCACAGAGAACAATATTTAACTTTTAATGAAGTTCATCTTATTAATTTTTTTTTCATGGATCATGCCTTTGGTGTTGTACCTAAAATGTTATTTCCATATCCGATGTCATCTAGGTTTTCTCCTGTTATCTTTTAGGAGTTTTATCAGTTTTAATTTTAAATTAGGTCTGTAGTCCATTATGGTTACTTTTTGTGAAGGGTTGGAAGGATGGTGTCTAGATTCATCCTTTTGCTTGTGGATATCCAGTTTTCTAGTGCCATTTGTTGAAAAGACTCTTTTCTCCCTTGTATTGCCTTTGCTTGTCAAAGACCAATGGACTACATTTATTTGGGCCTATCTCTGTGCTTTCTGTTCTGTTCCATTTATCTATTTGTCTATTCATTTGCCAGTACTACACTATCTTGATTACTTCAGCTTTGTAGTAAATCTTAAAGTCAGTAGTGTCAGTCTTCTAACTTTGTTCTTCTCCTTTAATATAGTTTAATACTGTCTTGGCTATTCTGAATCTTTTGCTTCTTCATATAAATTTTAGATTTTTATTTTTTTGACATGGAGTCTCGCTGTATCACTCAGGCTGGAGTGCAATGGCGTGATCTCAGCTCACTGCAACCTCTGCCTCCCAGATTCAAGCAATTCTCTTGCCTCAGCCTCCTGAGTAGCTGGGATTACAGGCATGCACCACCACGCCTGGCTAATTTTTGTATTTTTAGTAGAGATGGGGTTTCACCATGTTGGTCAGGCTGGTCTCGAACTCCTGACCTTGTGACCCACCTGCCTTGGCCTCCCAAAGTGCTGGGATTACAGGCATGAGCCACTGCACCCAGGCAAATTTTAAAATATTTATCCATATCCACAAAATAACTTGTTGGGATTTCATTGAATCTATTGATCAAGTTGGGAAGAACTAACCTCTTGATATTATTGAGTCTTCTTATTAACATAGTATATCTCTCCATTTGTTTAGTTCTTTGATTTTATTTATTGAAGTTGTGTAGGTTTACTCATATAGATCTTGTACATCTTATACCTAAGTTTTCATTTTTGAAGATGCTAATTTAAATGATATTTAAATTCATTAAAATTCATCAAGATTACTATTATTTGAGATGGAGTCTTGCTCTGTTGCCCAGGCTGGAGTGCATTGGTGTGATCTTGGCTCACCACAGCCACCACCTCCCAGATTCAAGTGATTCTCCTGCCTCAGCTTCCCAAGTAGCTGGGACTTCAGGTGCACGCCACCATGCCTGGATAATTTTTGTAATTTTAGTAATAATAATATTGACTTTTGTATATTAACCTTGTATCTTTTAGGTTTTCTACATAGATGATTCTGTTATCTGCTAAAAAAGACAGTTTTATTTTTTCCTTCTCAATCAGTGTGTTTTTCATTTTATTTTTCTTGGTTTATTACATTGGCCACAACATCTAGTAGAATGCTGAAAATGAGTGGTAAGAGGAAGCATCCTTGCCTTGGTCCCATTCTTAGTGAGAAAGCTTCAAATTTCTTGCCATTAAATACAATGTTGGCTGTAAGATTTTTGTAGATATTCCTTATCAAGTTAGGGAGGGTCTCCTGTACTCCTATTTGACTCACCCCTTCTCCCCCACACTTTTTAAAGAAATCATGGAAGGGTATTGAATTTTGTCTGATGCTTTTCCTGCATCTACTGATATTGCATCTACTGATCATGTAATTTTTTAATTAATATGATAATTACATTAATTGATTTTAGAATATTGAACCAGCCTTGCATACCCGGGATAAACACCTTTAATTTGTGGTGTATAATTATTTTTGTATATTATTGAATACTATTTGTTAATATATTGGTGACAATTTTTGTACCTATGTGTATGAGAGATATTATTAATCTGTAGTTTTCTTGTAATGTCTTTGTCTAGTTTTAGCAGTAGGGTAATGCTGAATTCATATAATGAGATAGGAATTATTCCCTCTGCTCCTATGAAAGAGATTGTAGAAAATTGATATTTATTTTTCATAAATGTTTGGTAGACTTCACCACTGAGCCACTTTCGGCATGGTTCTTTCTGTTATAAAGATTATTAATTATTTATTAAATTCCTTTAAGAGACATAAGCTTACTTAGATTGTCTATTTAGTATTGTGTGAGTTTTTAAAAATTGTCTTTCAAGGAATTGGTCCATTTCATCTAGATTATAAAATTTGTGAGCATAAAATTGTTCATAGTGTTTTATTAGCTCTGTATGTCTGTAGGATCTGTAGTAATGTTCCTTCCTGCATGTCTGATATTGGTAACTTGTGTTCTCTCCATCTCTCTCTCTCTTAAGTTAGCCTGGATAGAGATTTATGAATTTTATTTATCATTTCAGAGAATGGGCTTTTGGTTTTGTTAATTTTCTCTATTGATTTCCTATTTTCAATTTCATTGGTTTCTGTTC